>NW_018654714.1:0-300000 GCF_000001405.40 Homo sapiens | reverse complement strand
AATGGAATCCAGTAGAAATGATGCCAAAGATGATCTTGGTAATTTAAATGTGCCTGATTCATCTCTCCCTGCTGAAAATGAAGCAACTGGCCCTGGCTTTATTCCTCCACCTCTTGCTCCAGTCAGAGGACCATTGTTTCCAGTGGATACAAGGGGCCCGTTCATGAGAAGAGGACCTCCTTTCCCCCCACCTCCTCCAGGAACCATGTTTGGAGCTTCTCGAGGTTATTTTCCACCAAGGGATTTCCCAGGTCCACCACATGCTCCATTTGCAATGAGAAACATCTACCCACCGAGGGGTTTACCTCCTTACTTTCACCCGAGACCTGGATTTTACCCCAACCCCGCATTCTGAAGGTAGAAGCGAGTTCCCTTCAGGATTGATTCCGCCTTTAATGCTACTGAACATCCAGGACCACAAAAGAAACCTGACAATATTGTTGCTTTCTTCAAAAGTAATTTTGACTGATCTCATTTTCAGTTTAAGTAACTGCTATTACTTAAGTGATTGCACTTTTGCTCAAATTGAAGTTTAATGGAATTATAATTCTCAGGATAGTATTTTGTAAATAAAGATGTTTTAAATAGGAATCTTATGAGTAAATCATTCCATTTTATTATTCTAGATCATATAACTATTTTAATTTGGTGAATTAATCCACTGTTATAGAAACAATAATGGGAGTTTTATATATGTAATCTTGCAGGTGGGGAGGCTTTAAATTCTAAAGGTTGTGGTGTCTTCATGCCAAGAACTGTATTCACTGTGGTTGTAGATAAATGTGAAAGTAACTTTATGCTTAATTTAATAAACTTTAGTTGATTTTTTTTTTAAAAAGAAAACTGCCAGAACTGAAAGTAGGTATAGATGAATCCACAATTATAGTTGGAAATTTTCTCTTGCGTTTTTCAATAATGGATAGAACTAGACAGAAAATCAGCAAGGAGTGTTGGCTTTGGCAGCACTTTCTAAAATTAGAATGACACAGACAAGATTAACACGTCTCCTGCATATAGATTACACAAAATTTTGTGAAGCGTTTCATATTTTAAAAGGGGGGAAAAAAAAAGAAAATCAACAAGAATATAAAACAACTCAAAATGCCATTAACCAAAAGAATCTATTTGGCATTTACAGAATATTCCACACAACAACAGCAGAATACACATTTTTTTTGAGTGCTGACGAAACACATGGCAAGATAGAGCTATCCTAGGCCCTAAAACTCACCAGAACAAATTTAAAAGAGATCGTAATCATCCAGAGCAGGTGAAAACCAGAAACCATTGTAGGGAATCCAATTGGAAATCAGCATAAGAAAGATATGAAAATTCCCAAACACTTGGAAATTAAAAAAACACACTTCTAACTAATCTATCGGTCAAAGAAGAAGTCTCAAGGAAAAATTTTAAAAATACATTGAACTGGATAAACATGAAACTGTGACATATCAATGTACTGAGAAGGAAACTTATAGCAGTAAATGCATGCATTAGTAAAGAGGAAAAGTCTCGAGTGAGCAATAGATTTCCACCTCAGGAACCTAGAAAAAGAAGAGCAGAATAAACTCAAAGCAAGTAGAGGGTGGAGATTAATGAAGATAAGAAAAGAAAACACTTATATTTAAAAGAGAAAAAATAGTTAAACCAATAAAACAAAGGGATAGTTCTGTTAAAAGATTAATAAAATTTAGCAAACTCAAACAGAAATTAAAAGGAAAAGAAAAGGCATAAATTTTAAATACCATAATGAAACAGGTGATATCACTACAGACACCACATATAACAAAGGACAATCAAGGAATATTACAAACCACTCCACACACATAAATTAGACAACTTAGACAAAATGGACAAAATGCAGTGTTCCTCCTGCAACACAAGCAAACTCAACTCACCACGCATGAATAGATCATTTGAATAACTCTATAACCATTAAGAAAATTGAATTCATAATTTTAAAACTACCAGAAAAGGAATCTCTAGGTTTAGATGGTTTCACTGGAGAATTCTACCATGTTTAAAAAAAAAAACACCAATTCTACACAATCTTTTCCAGAAAACAGAAAAGGAGAGAACACTCCCCAATTTATTTTTTGAAGCTATTATTACACTGATACCAAAACCAGGAGAGAGAGTGGGTGTGTGTGTGTATATGTAAAGATATGTATAACTTAATATTAACAAATAGAGTTCTACAGTATATTAAAAAAATGTACCCCATGTCCAAGGGGGGTTGTTTCCAGAAATACAAGCCTGATTAAGTCTCAAAAAGTCAATCAAAATAATCCACCATGTTAACAAACAAAAGAAAAGTTACGTTGCATCAGTTGATGCATAATAAACATTTAACAAATTTAACACATTTCAATATCCATTCATGATAAAATCTCTCTATAAAGCAGGAATAGAGGAAACTTTATCCACTTGATAAAAAGCATCTACAAAAAGCTAACATTATACAGTCATGTGTTGTTTAACGATGCGTTAAATGATATGTTCTGAGAAATGTGCTGTCAAGTGAATTTGTCATTGTGCAAATGTCGTAGAGTGTACTTACAGAAACCTAGGTGGTATATATAGTAGCCACTATACACCTTGGCTATATGGAAGAGCTCATAGCTCCTACGGGACAAACCTGTGCAGCATATTAGTGTAGTGAATACTATAGGCAATTGTAACACAGTAAGTGTTATGTTTATGGTAACAATTTGTAATAGTCACCAACTGTGGTATTTATGTAACTAAGTATATCTAAATACATGAAATGTACAGTAGAAAATATAAAAGATTTTTAAGATGGTACACCTGTATAGGGAACTTACAATAAATGGAGCTTGCAGGACTGGAAGTTGCCTGGGCGAGTTAGTGAGTGAGTGAGTGGTGAGTGAATATGAAGGCCTAGGACATTACTGGCTGTGGGTTTGTCACAGATAGCTCTTATTATTTTAAGATGTGTTCCATCAATACCTAGTTTATTGAGAGTTTTTAGCATGAAAGGCTGTTGAATTTTGTCAAAGGCCTTTTTTGCATCTATTGAGATAACTGTGTGGGTTTTGTCATTGGCTGTGCTTATGTTACGGATTACGTTTATTGATTTGCATATGTTGAACCTGCCTTGCATCCCAGGGATAAAGCCAACTTGATGGTGGTGGATAAGCTTTTTGATGTGCTGCTGGATTCTGTTTGCCAGTATTTTATTGAGGATTTTTGCATCGATGTTCATCAGGGATATTGGCCTGAAATTTTCTTTTTTTGTTGTGTCTCTGCCAGGTTTTGGTATCAGGATGATGCTGGCCTCATAAAATGAGTTAGGGAGGAGTCCTCTTTTTCTATTGATTGGAATAGTTTCTGAAGGAATGGTATCAGCTCCTCTTTGTACCTCTGGTAGAATTCAGCTGTGAATCCATCTGGTCCTGGGTTTTTTTTGGTTGCTAGGCTATTAATTACTGCCTCAATTTCAGAACTTGTTATTGGTCTATCCAGGGAATCGAGTTCTTCCTGGTTTAGTCTTGGCAGGGTGTATGTGTCCGATAATGTATCCATTTCTTCTAGATTTTCTAGTTTATTTGCGTAGAGGTGTTTATACTATTCTCTGATGGTAGTTTGCATTTGTGTGGCATCAGTAGTGATATCCCCTTTATCATTTTTATTGTGTCTATTTGATTCTTCTCTCTTTTCTTCTTTATTAGTCCAGCTAGCAGTCTATTTTGTTCATCTTTTCAAAAAACAAACAAGCAAAAAAACAGCTCCTGGATTCATTTTTTTAAAAGGGTTTTTCGTATCTCTATCTCCTTCAGTTCTGCTCTGATCTTAGTTATTTCTTGTCTTCTGCTAGCTTTTGAATTTGTTTGCTCCTGCTTCTCTAGTTCTTTGAATTGTGATGTTAGGGTGTCAGTTTTAGATCTTTCCCACTTTCTCCTGTGGGCTTTTATTGCTATAAATTTCCCTCGAAACACTGCTTTAGCTGTGTCCCAGAGATTCTGGTACGTTGTGTCTTTGTTCTCATTGGTTTCAAAGAACTTATTTATTTCTGTTTTAATTTTATTATTTACTCAGTAGTCATTCAGGAGGATGTTGTTCAGTTTCCATACAGTTGTGCAGTTTTGAGTCAGTTTCTTAATCCTGAGTTCTAATTTGATTGCACTGTGGTCTGAGAGACTGTTTGTTATGATTTCCCTTCTTTTGCATTTGCTGAGGAGTGTTTTACTTCCAATTATATGGTCAATTTTAGAATAAGTGTGATGTGGTGCTGAGAAGAATGTATATTCTGCTGATTTGGCATGCAGAGTTCTGTAGATGTCTATTAGGTCCACTTGGTCCAGAGCTGAGTTCAAGTCCAGAATATCATTGTTAATTTTCTGTCTTGTTGATCTGTTTAGCATCAACAGTAGGGTGTTAAAGTCTCCCACTATTATTGTGTGGGAGTCTAAGTCTCTTTGTAGGTCTCTAAGAACTTGCTTTATGAATCTGGGTGCTCCTGTATTGGATGCATGTATATCTAGCATAGATAGCTCTTCTTGTTGCATTGATCCTTCTACCATTTTGTAATGCCTTATTTGTCTTTTTTGATCTTTGTTGGTTTACAGTCTGTTCTATCAGAGACTAGAATTGCAACCCCTGATTTTTTTTTTTTTTTTTTTTTTTTTTTTTGCTTTCTATTTTCTTGGTAAATCTTCTCCCATCCCTTCATTTTGAGCCTGTGTGTGTCTTTGCACATGAGATGGGTCTCCTGAATACAGCACACCGATGGGTCTGGACTCTTTATCCAATTTGCCAGTCTGTCTTTTAATTGGGACATTTAGCTTGTTTACATTTAAGGTTAATATTGTTATGTGTGAATTTGATCGTGTCATTATGATGTTAGTTGGTTACTTTGCCTATTAGTTGATGCAGTTTCTTCATAGTGTTGATGGTCTTTACAATTTGGTACATTTTTGCAGTGGCTGGTACCAGTTGTTCCTTTCCACATTTAGTGCTTCCTTCAGGAGCTTTTGTAACACCGGCCTGGTGGTGACAAAATCACTGAGCATTTGCTTGTCTGTGAAGGATTTTACTTCTCTTTCACTTATGAAGTTTAGTTTGGCTGGATATGAAATTTTGGGTTGAAAATTCTTTTCTTTAAGAATGTGAGGGCAGGGATGCAGCTGAAAAGCTGGCGGCCCAGACAGAAGTCTGCCCCAAGCAGCCTGAGCCCTCAGGCACCCCCCAGCTCCCTGGGAGCTCCCCTCCACCTGCCAACGTCAGTGCCACACTGGTGTCTGAAAGGAAAAACAGGAACAGGACAGACTAACCTTTTAAATGACGTGAAAAAATCAGAGGTGAAAATTGTACATTTGGAATGTATTTATGTAAATTTTGTTGAAATTTAGTGTAAACAAAGATTTTCTCAGTGGTCTAGAAAATAAAAAAGAAAAAAAAAAGAAAAGAATGTGGAATATTGGTCCCCACTCTCTTCTTGCTTGTAGGGTCCTGCCAAGTCTGCTGTTAGTCTGATGGGTTTCCCTTTGTGAATAACCTGACCTTTCTCTCTGGCTGTCCTGAACAGTTTTTCCTTCATTTCAGCCTTGGTGAATCTGATGATTATTTGTCTTGGGGTTTTTCTTCTCAAGGAGTATCTTTGTGGTGTTCTCTGTATTTCCTGAATTTGAATGTTGGTCTGTCTTGCTAGGTTGGGGAAGTTCTCCTGGATAATATCCTGAAGTGTGTTTTCCAACTTGGTTCCATTCTCCTGGTCACTTTCAGGTATACCAATCAAACGTAGGTTTGGTCTTTTCATGTAGTCCCATATTTCTTGGAGGCTTTGTTCATTCCTTTTCATTCTTTTTTCTCTAATCTTGTCTTCATGCTTTATTTCATTAAGTTGATCTTCAATCTCTGATATCCTTTCTTCCATTTGATTGATTCAGCTATTGATACTTGTGTATGCTTCACAAAGTCATCGTGTTGTGTTTTTCAGCTCCATCAGGTCATTTATGTTCTTCTCTAAACTGGTTATTCTAGTTGGCAATTCCTGTAATGTGTTTTCAAGGTTCTTAGCTTCCTTGCATTGGGTTATAACATGCACCTTTAGCTCAGAGAGGTTTGTTTTACCTACCTTCTGAAGCCTACTTCTGCCAATTCATCACTCATTCTCCATGCAGTTTTGTTCCCTTGCTGGCGAGGAGTTGTGATCCTTTGGAGGAGAAGAGGCTTTCCGGTTTTTGGCATTTTCGGCAATTTTGCACTGCTTTTTCCTCATTTTTGTGGATTTATCTACCTTTGGTCTTCGATGTTGGTGACCTACAACATCGAAGATGAAACCCCATGAAGATGGGGTTTCAGTGTGGATGTCCTTTTTGTTGAAATTGATGCTATTCCTTTCTGTTTGTTAGTTTTTCTTCTAACAGTCAGGCCCCTCTGCTGCAGGTCTGCTGGAGTTTGCTGGAGGTCCACTCCAGACCTTGTTTGTCTGGGTATCACCAGCGAGGGCTGAAGAACAACAAAGATTGCTGCCTGTTCCTTCCTCTAGAAGCTTCATCCTAGAGGGGCACCTATCAGATGTCAGCCTGAGCTCTCCTGTAGGAGGTGTCTGTCAACCCCTAATGGGAGGTGTCTCCTAGTCAGGATGCACTGGGTTCAGGGACCCACTTGAGGACACAGTCTGTCCCTTAGCAGAGCTTAAGCACTGTGCTGGGAGATCCACTACTCTATTCAGAGCTGGCAGGCAGGGACGTTTAAGTCTGCTGAAGCTGTGCCCACAGCCACCCTTTCCCCCAGCTGCTCTGTCCCAGGGAGGTGGGAGTTTTATTTATAATCCCCTGACTGGGCTGCTGCCTTTGTTTCAGAGATGCCCTGCCCGGGGAGGAGGAATCCAGGGAGGCAGTCTGGCTACAGTGGCTTTGCTGAGCTGCTAGCTGCAGTGGGCTCTACCCTGTTTGAACTTCCCAGCAGCTTTGTTTACCACCTATTCAAGCCTCAGTAATGGCAGATGCCCCTCCCCGCACCAAGCTCCAGCGTCCCAAGTCAACTTCCAATTATGATGCTCATAATCAAATTATGATGGAAGCGTGAATCTGGCACCAGCTACTTTGGTGTCAAGTAGCCAAGTCACGTACTAATTTATTTTTAATGTAAAGCTATACAACCTTCTTTCTATACTTAAAATTTTAATTAAAATATTACTAAAAATTTCTTAATGATTTTATTTCATGGTGAAAGAGACTCAGTCTGGAATGTAAAGTATGTCTTACAAGTATTTCTCATTTTGCAGGACATTGTCTAGGTGTCCCTCTCCCATGGATGATCATTAGTGTGGTTTATCTTTATGCTTTGAGAAAATAAGTCTGTAGTATGTTATTATATTCTACTATATAAAGATACTCTTCAACTTATGATAAGATCATGTTTCAATAAACCCATCATAAGTTGATACTATTCTAAGTTGAAGATGCTGTTTTTTTTAAACAAAATGTAGACTCTTGCCATGTTGCCCAGGCTGGAGTGCAGTGGCTATTCTCACGTGTGCTCATAGTGCACTATAGTCTCAAACTCCTTGAGCTCAAACAATCCTCCTGCCTCAGCTTCCTGAGCAGCTGGGACTATAGGCACAAACCACTATACCTGGCTTGAAGATATGTTTAATAAACCTAACCTACCCAACTTCATAGCTTAGCCTAGCCCACCTTAACCGTGCTTAGAACACTAACATTAGCCTACAGTTGGGCAAAATAATCTTACACAAAGCCTATATTATAGTAAACTGTTGAATATTTCATGTAATTTATTGAGTACTGTACTGAAAATGAAAAATATAATGGTAGCATGAGTACTTGAAATATGGTTCCTACTCAATACGTATCACTTTCCCACCATCATACAGTTGAAAATCTTAAGTGAAACCATTGTAAGTTGGTGACTGTCTGTATTTGTTTATTTATTTTACTACTTTCCCTTTTTCTTGTAATAGTTGAAAGGCATGATAAGGTAAAATATTATTGCCTAAAAATACTCTGCCTCTCTGGAAAATAAAAAAGACAGAAGTTTCCAAGAAATCTTTCAAGAGATATAAAAATCGTATGAAAATGAGATAATTAAAGAATAAATCTGTAATTATGCATGTTGTAAAATACAAATGGGAGGCTGGAAGAGAGACTGTAGATGAGCCGTGAAAATGAAAGCAGAAATAAAGTAGGAATGGAAGCATTCATATAGGAATTGTGAGATATAGTATCTTATTTTTGTTCAACACTAAATAGTTTTCAAGTCTAGCAGAGGACTTGGAAATTTTAAGCTACTCAACAGTGAATCTCAGAGATTTCTTCATTCATCTCACAGTTGGTCTTATATAAATATACAGCTCTGTAATGATTATATGTATCAATTTTTTTTCCAGTCAAGGAGTTTCCCTCCTCATGTTCATTTCTCTGAAAAATACCACTTGGTACTAGATGATGTGAATGGCTGTGATTGAACTGGTTAATTAGGGTAATAGGCTGACATCTTGTTTCAGCAATTAAACAATAAAAAAGATGTTCTTTATTAAGATACGAATCCATTTCTTAAACGAATTGGTTCCATAGATTTCCATAGCATTAACCATGTTGATAATTCAAATGCTTCATCACTGAACAAAAATGCTCAACCTCAGAGACTATCCTTGCATATAAATTTTTTTATTTTCAGTTGAGTATTGGCCAACTCATATCAAACATTGTTCATAGATTTTTTTTTCAAGATGACAATTAGAAGCTTTTAGCATGCCACAGCCACTTGGAAATAGCAAGGCAGTGCATAAAGATAAATACTGTGAGCTTTAATTCAAGAAGGAAAATGGAGATCCACTGGAATTGTGAAGAACACTCCAGATCCTGAGAAGGAGAATGCTGGCAAACAGCCACCATAATGCTGTCCAGCTGAGAAAAGTGAATGAAGTCCCAGCACATGAGAGGTAGAAGCTTCCCTCTGTGACTCACGTTTCCACTGAGGATCAGAGCAATCCAGGCTGAGAGACAGCACTTTGTTTCTCCCAAATCCTGGAGCTAACTTCAGGAGAGGCTTGGAGATGCTGATAGGGACAGACACTGGATAAAGCTACAGGCATTTTCCCAGTCCCAGGACAGAGAACAGGATACCATTTTTAATTTGGGTGCATCTAAAGTCAGCCATTCTTTGGCAACCCAGCAGTGTGGCCATGCAGGCATTTTAGTATTGGGGTAGAGAATGGAGCACCTGCTCTGGATCAGGGTAGGGTCCTCCACAGCCAGAACCATGGAAAATACCTCAACAGTAGGCACGGGAATTGTGCTTTCCCCAGTCACAGGCCTTGGGCAAGAGGAGAGCTGCTATGGCTGTGGTTTCTCCTGGGCAGTGAGACTTTCAGCCAGGGCCAGCCTGATGAACTAGAACTGGTCTGTGTGTGTTATTGCTGGGTGTCCCAGCCTACTTTCCTGAGACTGTGGTGTAGCAGGGCCTTCTCCATTCTACATATAAGCAGATCTCCAAGCATTTAAAGCACCCGCTCTCATGGGCTAGCAGCCTGGGTTGCCCCTTCCTTCCTGTGCAGAGATCCTTGTGCAAGGGGGCCATCTCCACTTCTTGCCCAGGCAGATATCCAGGGATTCAGAGTGCCCATTAGCGTGAATCAGCAGTCTGAGCTGCTCCATTCTTCTGGTGCAGAGATTGCGGTGCAGTGGGACCCTCTCTGCTCCACAGATTTCCAGGTATTTGGAACACCTGCTTGCCTGGAGCAGTAAGTAGCTTGAGCCACCCCATCCTTCCTGCGCAGCGATAGTGGTGCAAGGAGACCCTCTCCACTCCACAACCAGGCAGATCTCCAGGCATCTGGAGCAGCCACTCTCCTGGATTAAGAGATCAGGCTGCCTCTGACACTCCTATGCAGAGAACTTGGGGCCAAGGAGGTTTCCTACCTCCATGCCGAGGCACGCCTCTGGACACTTGGTGGCTGCCCACTGGACTCTCCCTCAGAGCTGGTGCTTGTGCCTATCATTGGGGGACCTGTAGATGGACTTGCCAGGTCCAGCCCTACCCAGTGTTTTTCCAGTAAAGGAGGATCGAGTATATACCCAGCCCCATTGGCTGCAACCTGCTATTACCCATAAGCCCCCATCTACTGGCTTGTAGGTCAAAGTACCCAGCCCAATATAAAACCTGCGGACAGAAGTGCATAGGGTTATGGAAGCAAAGTCAAAAGACCCTACCCAGCATTATCCTCAGTCACATCCTCTAGGGAGAGGAGGAAAGGGAAGGGGAAAGAAACAGAAAAAAAATATATAGGGAAAGGAAGAAAAATAAAAAATCCGAGCTCCGGCTGGCAAGATGGCCAAATAGGAAGAGCTCCAGTCTGCAGCTCCCAGTGAGATCTATGCAGAAGATGGGCGATTTCTGCATTTCAAACAGAGGTACCCGGTTCATCTCATAGGGACTGGTTGGACAGTGGGTGCAGCCCACAGAAGGCGAGCCAAAGCAGGGTGGGGAGTCGCCTCACCCGGGAAGTGCAAGGTGTTGGGGAACTCCCTCTCCTAGCCAAAGGAAGCCATTAGGGACTGCACTGTGACAAATGGTGCACTCTGGCCCAGATACTGCACTTTTCCCACGGTCTTCACAACCCACAGATTGGGAGATTCCCTCCAGTTCCTATGCCACCAAGGCCCTGGGTTTCAAGCACAAAACTGGGCAGCCATTTGGGCAGACACCAAACTCGCTGCAGGAATTTTTTTTTTTTTCCCATAACTCAGTGGAACCTGGAACACCAGTGAGACAGAACTTTTCACTCCCCTGGAAAGGGAGCTGAAGCCAGGGTGTCAAGTGGTCTGGCTCAGTGGGTCTCACCCCCACAGAGCCCAGCAAGCTAAGATCCACTGGCTTGAAATTCTCGCTGCCAGCACAGCAGTCTGAGCTCTACCTGGGACGCTCAAGCTTGGTCGCGGGAGGTTCATCCGCCATTGCTGAGGCTTGAGTAGGCGGTTTTACGCTCACAGTGTAAACAAAGCCGCTCTGAAGATTGAACCGGGTGGAGCCCATCACAGCTCAGTAAGGCCACTGTGGACAGACTGCCTCCTTTCTGGGCAGGGCATCTCTGGGAAAAAAAAAAAAAAAGCAGCAGCCCCAGCCAGGGGCTTATAGATAAAAAACCCCGTCTCCCTGAGATAGAGCACCTGGAAGGAGGGGTGGCTGTGGGCGCAGCATCAGCAGACTTAAACATCCCTGCTTGATGGCTCTGAAGAGAGCAGCGGACCTCCCAGCACAGCCTTGAACTTCACGCTCTGCTAAGGATCAGACTGCCTTCTCAAGTGGGTCCCTGACCTCTATGTCTCCTGATTGGGAGACACCTCCCAGTAGGGGCCAACAGATACCTCATACAAAAGAGCTCTGGCTGGCATCTGGCAGGTGCCTTTCTGTGACAAAGCTTCCAGAGGAAGGAACAGGCAGCAATCTTTGCTGTTCTGCAGCCTCCGCTGGTGATACCCAGGCAAAGAGGGTCCTGCAGCAAACTCCAGCAGACCTGCAGCAGAGAGGCCTGATTGTTAGAAGGAAAACTAACAGACCGAAAAAAATAGAATCAACATCAACAAAAGGATGTCCACTCAGAGACCTCATCCGAAGGTCCCAACATCAAAGACCAAAGGTAAATAAATCCACGAAGATGGGGAGAAACTAGCACAAAAAGGCTGAAAATTCCAAAAACCAGAAGGCCTGTTCTCCTCCAAAGGATCACAACTCCTCACCAGCAAGGGAACAAAACTCAATGGAGAATGAGTTTGATGAATTGAGAGAAGTAGGCTTCAGAAGGTGGGTAGTAACAAACTCCTCTGAGATAAAGGATCATGTTCCAACACAATGCAAGGAAGCTAAGAACCTTGAAAAAAGGCTAGATGAATTGCTAACTAGAATAATCAGTTTGAGAAGAACATAAATGACCTGATGGAGCTGAAAAACACAGCACGAGAACTTCGTGAAGCATACACAAGTATCAGTAGCTGAATCGATCAAGTGGAAGAAAGGATATCAGAGATTGAAGATCAACTCAATGAGATAAAGGCAGAAGACAAGATTAGAGAAAAATGAATGAAAAGGAATGGACAAAGCATCCAAGAAATATGGGACTATGTGAAAAGACCAAATCTACGTTTGATTGGTTTACCTGAGAGTGACACAAAGAATGGAACCAAGTTGGAAAACACTCTTCAGGATATTATCCAGGAGAACTTCTCTAACGTAGCAAGACAGGCCAACATTCAAATTCAGGAAATACAGAGAACACCACAAAGATACTCTTTGAGAAGAGCAACCCCAAGACACAGAATTGTCAGATTCACCAAGGTTGAAATGAAGGAAAAAATGTTAAGGGCAGACAGAGAGAAATGTCAGGTTACCTACAAAGGGAAACCCATCAGACTAACAGTGGATCTCTTGGCAGAAACTCTACAAGCCAGAAGAGAGTGAGGGCCAATATTCAACATTCTTAAAGAAAAGAATTTTCAGCCCAGAATTTCATATGCAGCCAAACTAAGCTTCATACATCAAGGAGAAGTAAAATCCTTTACAGAGAAGCAAATGCTGAGAGATTTTGTCAGCACCAGGCCTGCCTTATAAGAGCTTCAGAAGGAAGCACTAAACATAGAAAGGAACAACCAGTACCAGCCACTGCAAAAACATACCAAATTGTAAAGACCACCAACACTATGAAGAAACTGCATCAACTAGCAGGCAAAATAACCAGCTAACATCATAATGACTTGATCAAATTCATACATAACAATATTAACCTTAAATGTAAATGAGCTAAATACCTCAATTAAAAGACACAGACTGACAAATTGGATAGAGTCAAGACCCAGTGGTATGCTGTATTCAGGAGACCCATCTCACTTGCAAAGACACACATAGGCTCAAAATAAAGGGATGGAGGAAGCTACCCAGAAAAAAGGAAAGCAAAAAAGAAGCAGGGATTGCAATCCTAGTCTCTGATAAAACAGACTGTAAACCAACAAAGGTCAAAAGAACCAAAGATGGGCATTACATAATGGTAAAAAGATCAATGCAACAAGAAGAGCTAACTATCCTAAATATACATACACCAATACAGGAGCACCCAGATTCATAAAGCAAGTTCTCAGACACCTACAAAGAGACTTAGACACCCACACAATAATAGTGGGAGACTTTAACACCCTACTGTGGATATTAAACAGATCAACAAGACAGAAAATTAACAAGGATATTCAGGACTTGAACTCAGCTCTGGACCAAATAGACATCTACAGAACTGTCTACCCCAAATCAACAGAATATATATTCTTCTCAGCACCACATTGCACTTATTCTAAAATTGACCACATAATTGGAAGTAAAACACTCCTCAGCAAATGCAAAAGAATAGAAATCATAACAAACAGTCTCTCAGACCACAGGACAATCAAATTAGAACTCAGGATTAAGAAACTCACTCAAAACCACACTACTACATGGAAACTGAACAATCTCCTCCTAAATGACTACTGGGTAAATAGGTTCATTTGGTCTATAGTGCAGATTAAGTCTGATTTTTTTTTGTTGATTTCTGTCTGGAAGATCTGTCCAATGCTAAAAGTAGGGTGTTGAAGTCTCCGGCTATTACTACACTGGGGCATATCTCTCTCTTTAGCTCTAATAATATTTGCTTTATATATCTGGGTGCTCCAGTGTTGGGTGCATACATATTTAAAATTGTTACATCCTCTTGCTGAATCGAGCCCTCCGTTATTATATAGTGTCCTTCTTTGTCCCTTCTTATAGTTTTTGTCTTAAAATCTATTTTGTCTGATATAAGTATAGTGAATTCTTCTCTTTTTTTGGCTTCCATTGGCATAGAATATCTTTTTCCATCCCCTTATTTTCAGTCTATGTGTGTCTTTATAGGTGAAGTGTGTTTCTTGTAGGCAACAGATGAGTGGGTCTTGTTTTTTCAAGATAACCTGACTTCAAGTTTATTAGCTCTTTATTCTGCTTGCTCAATTCTGCTATTAAAAGACCCTGATGCATTCTTCAGTATGTCAATTGCATTTCTCAGCTCCAGAATTTCTGCTTGATTCTTTTTAGTTATTTCAATCTCTTTGTTAAATTTATCTGATAGAATTCTGAATTCTTTCTCTGTGTTATCTTGAATTTCTTTGAGTTTTCTCAACACAGCTATCTTGATTTCTGTGTTTGAAAGTTTACGTATCTCTGTTTCTCCAGAATTGGCCCTGGGTGCCTTATTTAGTTTGTTTGGTGAGGTCATGTTTTCCTGGATGGTGTTGATGCTAGTGGATGTTCTTCATTGTCTGGGCATTGAAGAGTTAGGCATTTATTGTCGTCTTCAATGTCTGGGTTTGCTTGTAGCTGTCCTTTTTGGGAAGGCTTTCCAGATGCCTGAAAGGACTTGAGTCTTGTGATCCAAACTGTATCTACTTTAGAGGGGCATCTCAAACCCAGTAACATCATGGTTCTTGCAGACTTGTACAAGTACCACCTTGATGGTCTTGGACAAGATCCAGGAGAATTCTCTAGATTACCAGGCAGAAATTCTTATTCTCTTTTCTTACTTTCTCCCAAATGTACAGAATTTCTCTCTCTCTGTTCTGTGCCACCTAAAGCTGGGGGCGGAGTGGCACAAGCACCCCTTTGGCCACCACCACTATGACTGTTCTGGGTTAGACCTGAAGCCAGCCCAGTGCTTACTGGGTCTCACCCAAGGTCTGCTGTAACCACTCCCTGGCTACTGCCTACATTACCTCAAGGCCTTGGGACTCTACAATCAGTAAATGCCAAAGCCAATCAGGCCTATGCCCTTCCCTTCAGGGCAGCAAGCTCCCCTAAGCCCCAGAAGTGGGTCCAGAATGCCATCTGGGAGTCAGGGACTAGAGTAAAAACCCTTAGATGTCTACCTGGTGCTCTCTTGTATTGCAGCTGAACTGGCACTCTAACCACTAGATGCAGTCCTTCCCACTCTTGCCTCCCCTTTCCAAAGGCAGAGGAGCCTCACCCCATAGCCACCACCACCCAGGCCACAAGGAGTACTGCCAGACTACCACCAAAGTTCCCTTAAAGCCCAAGATCTCTTAAGTCAGCTTGTCATAAATGCTACCTGTCCTGGGACTCCCATGTTAGGGCAGTGGGTGCTCCTCTGGCCCAGGGCAGGTCCAGAAATGCTGTCCAAGAGTCAAGTCCTAGAATTGGGGACCCCGAGAGCCTGACTGGTTCTTTATCCTTCTGTGGCCATGCTGGTACCTAAGGTGCAAAACAAAGTTCCCTTTACTTTTTCCTCTGCTTTTCTCAAGCAGAAGTTTTGCCCCAGAGCCACCGCAGCTAGTAATATCCTGAGTCTCACCTGAAGCCAGCAAGCCTCAAAGGCTCACCCAAGGCCCTTGGTGTAGTACTTGGGTATTGCTGCTGGTTATTCAGGGCCCAAGGGCTCTTCAGTTAGCAGGCGATAAATGCTGCCAGGACTGGGTCCTTTCTTTCAAGGCAGCAGGTTCCCTTCTGGCCCAGGGTGTGTGTAGAAATGTCATCTGGAAGCTAGGGCCTGCAGTGGGGACCTCGTGACTCTGACTGTTGCCCTGTTTTGTTGTAGCTGAGCTGGTATCCTAGGTGCATCACAAAGTCTTTCCCACTCTCCCTTTTCCTACCTTCAACTGGAAGAAAGAGAGGTCTTTCCGAGCCATAAGTTGTGCAGCCTGGGTTTATGGGAGGGTTGAAGCCAGCACTCCCTTAGCTGCCCCAGCTAGTGTTTCTGTACGCCACATGCAGTCCCAGTTCACTGTCTCTGGGCCTAGTTCAGCACCAGGACTCACCTAAGAGTTTCAGTCTTTATGGCCCAGACTGCCTTTCAAGTTTACTTGGAGATACAGAGTGTTATAGCCCTCGGTGGTGAAGTTTGCAGGCACTCAAGTTCTAACTGTTGGAATCAGTGATTCTCCTCTGGCTAGGCCTGGTTTAAATGCTCCCTCTGTGGGTGGGTGTCAGCTGAGTTTGGTCTGGTTTTCCTTTCTGCTCTAACAAGACAGCACTGAGTTCAATGCCTCACAATTGCTGTATTCTTCCTTCCCCAGCACCTAGAGACGCTCTCTGCACCACGCCATGATTGCTGAAGGGTGCAGGAGGGGTGGCATACTTGATTTAGGACTGTTTTTTTTCTATCTCTTCAGTGCTTGTTTCAGCCATATGAAGTTAAAACCAGGTACTATGAGGGCTCACCGGATTTTTGGTTCGTATGAAGGTATTTTTTCTGTGTAGATAGTTGTTAACCTGGTGTCCTTGTGGTGGCAGGGCAGACTATCAGTGGAGCCTTCTATTCCGCTATCTTGCTTTGCCTCCTCCCCTCTGGAAAACTAATTTTTAAAAAATCAATTCTCGGCCGGGCACAGTGGCTCATGCCTGTAATCCCAACACTTTGGGAGGCCGAGGTGGGTGGATCACAAGGTCAGGAGTTGAAGACCAGCCTGGCCAATATGGTGAAACCTTGTCTATACTAAAAATACAAAAATTAGCTGGGCATGGTGGTGGGTACCTGTAGTCCCAGCTACTCGGGAGGCTGAGGCAGGAGAATCACTTGAACCCAGGAGGTGGAGGTTGCAGTGAGCCAAGATCGTGCCACTGCACTCCAGCCTGGGCGACAGAGCGAGACTCCACCTCAAAAAAAAAAAAAAATTCAAGTCTCCACTAATTGATGCATATTCTTAAAAAATTACTTAGAATCAAAATCTCAACAGGGTTTTTCATTATTGTAGTTGTTTACTCACTTGTTTTAGTGGAATGCAACAAGCTGGTTTAAAAATTTAAATGGAAGCACAAACAACCAAGAATAATTGTGTGTTCTTGACAAAAACTAAGGTAGAATAATTAGCAAGATTTATTATGAAGATATTACAATAGTATAGCATTGGCATAGAGATGAAGAAAAAAAATAGAAAAGAATAGAGAGCCTGCAAAGAGATCCACACAGATCCAGACTTTTGGCCCCGTAGATGAGGCAGAAAGAGTGAACCTTTCAATGAACAGTGCTATAATTAGGAATCCATATTTTAAAAAACTACAGTTGTATTCCTAGTTCACTATGCCCAAAACTCATTTAAACTTAAAAATTTATACAACTCTTTGAAGATAATATAGAAAAATCTCTTTGTGGAATTTGGGTAAACAATTTTTTTTACTCATGGTACAAATAGTATTAATCATAAAAAAGATTAATAACTTTGACTACTTTAAAATTAAGAAGTTGTGTTTATTAAAATACACCACAAGAAGAGTGAAAATTGGCCCAGAGTGGGAAAAGCTGTTGGCCACACATGTAACTGACCAAGTTTATATATCTAAAACATTGTGACATACAGAAAATCCGATAGAAAAATACACAAGAAAATGGAATGAGCACTTCAAAATAAAAGCAAAAATCAAATGTTTAGTTAATATATGCAAAGCTGCTTAACATCATTAGTAATGAGGAAAATGCAAATTAAAACCACAATAATATATTACTATGCACTCATCACTTTGGAAAAAAAAGTATTTCATAATATCAAGTGTTCCTAAGGATCTAGAGCAATGGAAACTCATATACTCTAAGTGATATGATTTATCTTTGACTTGTCTTTATCTACAGCTTGGTTTTATCTAAGAAGGTTGAAGCTATGCATATTCTACGATACAGCAATTCCTTTCCTAGGGTATGCCAGAGAAACTCTCGCACAGATATACATGTAAAGGATGTTTGTAGTATCAGATAGGCCCCAAATAAAAACAATCAAAAACCAATCAGCAGCAAAATAGATTAACTGATTGTATTATAGTTATATAACTGAGTATTAGGCAGAAAGAAAAATGAAGTAGAGCTACACAAATCAACACAGACGATGTCACAGTATTGCACTAAAGAAGCAAGTCATAAAAGATTACATATAATATAACTTTCTTGTATTCTTATACAGTTTAAAACAAGTTAAAACTAAACTATGTAGTTTAAGTTTGTGCACATAGGTAGTAAAACTAAAGGAGCAAAAGGAATGATCACAGAAGTCAGATTAGTGTTCCATCTGGTGGTAGGAGAGGGACAATGAACTTGGAGGAACATATGGAGGACTTCAATTATTGGCAACATTCTATTTCTTAATCTGTTGCTGATCTGATTGTTCCCTTTCTAATTATTATTTAAATTGTACATATGCTTTTAGATACATTTTTTATGAGCACAGTGTATTTCATTAAAAAAAGAATATTGTTGGGTTGCATCTTCTGACACTAAAAGTAAATTGGTTTGGGAAATTTTTATGGATAACACAAGTAGAGAGCATATTGACCAGTCAATTGCTTCATGGGAAGGGTAACATAAATATCTCTTTTAAATTAAAACCACGGCAAGAGACTGTGTTTGCCACAATGGGAACAATTTCACTGTTTCAACTGGTGATCAGGAGCTGAAAGGTTTTCTAAATGGCCACAAGGGAGAGACAAAGAACAAAGATTCTATGCAGAGGACACAGAACTTAAAATGTCGAGGGTTCATTCAAGATAGGAGTGACTTTAATTCCCTTTAGCAGTGCGTGTTATTCCATTTTAACAATATTTGTGAGCAGTAGGAGCTTTGACGGTCCCATTTAGTGTGACCAACCACTAAGGCTTTAATTTTTTCTGAAACTGTTTCGAAATACTAAGTTTTCAAATAAGTCAGGGACTTTAAGGCATTCAGGGGAGGAAATACAAGCAGGGTCATTTTAAATAAAGGTAGGGTCATCTTTAAGGCTGGTCGCTGTTGCTCATGCCGGCAATCCCAGCACTCTGGGAGGCCGAGGCTAGGTGGATCATGTGAGGCAGGAGTTCGAGACCAACATGGCCAAACCCTGTATCTACTAAAAATACAAAAATTAGCTGGGCATGGTGGCAAACACTTGTTGACCCAGCTATTTGGGAGGCTCAGGCAGGAGAATCACTTGAATGCAGAAGGCAGAGATTGCAGTGAGTTGAGATTTCATGACTGCACTCCAGCCTGGGCAACAGAGCGAGACTCCATCTCAAAAACAAACAAAACCACCACCACCAACAACAACAATAAAAACCCACTTCTTTAAAACTTAAAAGTGACCATTATTATTTCCCTAAAGTATTCTAGGGTGATTTCTGCCTCTTGAAATGTCTCCAGTTTGTTGGGAATTTAGATTTTACAGCTATTGGAGCTAATAACCTATGGGAACGTATGTGGTCCCTTATCCAATGCTTTTAGACATAATGAGAGGAGTTGGGGCATCCTTAAAAAGGATAAAAACCTTGAGTGTAAGACCTGCTTCCTCTAAGACTCCATCAAGCTCTTATTTTGAATCGCAGAATCTTTAAAACCCTCCAGTCTAGGTTGGACACGGTCTTGGTATTGGAAAAAAAATCAATTGTATATCCTGAGCGAAGTGTTCCTTGGATGAATGACCTTTACTGTAAAGTAACTGCTTTTTGTGTAACTAGGAATAACCTGATTGGTTTTGGCAGTTGGACTCTGCTTGCTCTGTGATTCAGTATTCAGACACATAGTCTAATGCAGGCAGAGTTACAGGCGATGGCAGATCCAGTAACTCCATAGGACAGTATGCTGGCTGAGAGTGTGGGCTCCAACTTCTAGGGTTGGAAATGTGGCTTCACAGCTTACTAGTTCTCAGCAAAATGAAGAGTGTAATTGTACTTACTCTGTAGGAATGTTGTGAGCATAAATAAATATAAAAGCACTTAAAACAGTTTCTGAAAAGAAGCGGTTTATTGATGATTCACCTAACTTACACTGATATCCTTGGGAGTAAATGTGGTCTGGAAAATAGATTTTTAGGGTCATTGCTTGAATGGGATTATGAAATTATATAAATGCACAATATATTTTTTGTTATAACTCCCGTCTGCTACAATAATTCACGGAATCTTCCCATATGTAACTTTACTAATTCAAACCTGAATGGTCCTCATTTTAACTACCTGTTCAAATGATTTGTTATTTAAGACAAAAACTATGTGGCTGGGAGTAGACTGCATGATCCTATTAAAAGAAGTATCATTTGTGAGGGTGAATCAGTCTCATGCATTGAATATGTATTTATCTAAGTGAAGCACACAGCTGCTTAGGTTCCAGTCTGCAGACCCAGGAAAGCATTGTTCCAACTGAGTGCCTTACCTAAGTGCTGAGAATTTTTTTTTCATCATTGTGAGTGTCCTTGCATGGCTTGGTTCTCCACAGTGGGGCCAATTACACTGGACTTTAATTTCCAAATCTCCACCTAAGTTTTTCTTTTTTAGCAACAGAGAGTGATATGGCCAGGCTTTGTGTCCCCACCCAAATATCACCTTGAATTGTAATACCTAGGTGTTGAGGGAGAGAGCTGGTTGGAGGTGATTGGATCATGGGGGCCAGTTCCCCCCCATGCTGTTCTCGTGATAGTGAGTGAGTTCTGAAGAGATCCGATGTTTTATTAAGTGTTTGGTAGTTTCTCTCTTGCTCTCTCATCACTCACCTGCCACCATGTAAGACATGCTTGCTTTCCTTTTCGCGATGATTGTAAGTTTCCTGAGACTGCCCCAGGCTTGCAAAATTGTGAGCCAACTAAACGTCTTTCCTTTATAAATTACTCAGTCTTGGGTATTTCTTCATAGCAATGTGAAAATGAACTAATACAGACAGTTAGTTGTTTTAGGGCTATTAAGGGCCTAGGAATAAAAAGCAGTGGCTTTGTTGTTGTTAATTCTCCCCTTCCATCTGTACTGCACAATAAAGATGATTGGGTTTTTTTCAGATTATTCTTGATGAAAAGGACAATACATTCAAGAACATTTTATAAATTTGTTGGTAGCCTAGGAAAAAGAAACAAAGGGATCTTTCTTATTGAATTTTAAAACAGAAATGGCTCATCAAACTGCTCCATTGGGCTGCCTTTGGGTTTATCCTCTTGATATGAGGTAATATGATATTTGAAGTGGTGTCTGGGAAGCTGTTCCTCAGGTAAGCTCTTGGTTACTCCTCAGGGTGAGGACTTTTTCTCTCCATCTGTTACTCAACTTCTTTGTTCTCTAGATCTCCAGCTTGAGAGATAGTTTACAATTTCTATCTTAATTTTTTCTCAACACCATTTTTCCCAACCTATGCTTAACATTGCAAAATGATGCTCTCTCCCTTTATCATCTTGAAGAGTTTATAGAGATGATGGTTATATTTTTTTATGAAAAAAGTTTCTCATGGCTTTCCCAAATGAAAAGTGAATCAGTACAAAGAGTTGTGTGTAGAAAATGTAGGAACTTCTGCAAGCTGAGTACGGGACCAAACTGTCCTCCTACCAGAACTGGGAAGTGCACCAATCTTGCACAAGAAGGCTTTTCAAAATGGAAGCCAGGCATGGTACTAAAGACCTTGCAGCAGGAACAAGTTCATGAAAATAATATCCTGAGAAACGCAATCATGCCATGCCTATAAGGAGATAGCATTGACTGAAAAGTAGCTCTCCTTCTTTGGAAACCTTGACCACATTTAACGTCTTGGCTGACCTGCTGTTCATGTGCTAGCTACGTGCTGCTGAGGCCATATTAGCGGGGGGCACTTTTGATCTTAGATGAATCAGTGTATCAGAGATGTACCTGAGCAATACTCAGAAAGGTCTGGTTTCTATTTCAAAGTTTCTGGTGAAGACAGCCTAGGGGCCTGAAGAAATAACTTATCATAGGAAACTAGGTTAGATTCAAAAGTGGAACAACAATTTGAAGTGGGCTAATAGCATCTTTTTGTTTTCTTCTACAGAAATGGAGACTAACAGATAGATGTACCGGTATGAAGGTGCCATGTATAGGCATCTCAGCTGCCTTGTTTTGGAGCTGGGAGGCCATATAAAATAATTTGAATTTTTTTTAGGGGGGTCTTAATTTGTCATTACTGTTATTGTGGGATATATCCCTGTTCCAGAACCTAATAACATGGCAGAACAGGAAAAATGTTAATTCAAAATGAAAGTATCTACACTGTAGTTAACTTTGGCTGGAAATGTTAGCAGAGGAGAGGAATTGACATCGAAATGTAGTAGAAATAGGGCCCAGGAAATGTCAGATAAATACTTTTTTCACCAAAATACAGAAACTCCTGAAAATAGCTTATACTATTCACTGACCAAGTCCCAAGGAAAAGGAGAAATAAGAATTAATGGAAAATTCACTCTCACAGTGCAGCCTGTTTTCAGAAGCTAAAAATAGGAGAATGGTTCTAATCACACTAAAGCTTCTTTCTGGAATAGTGAAACCATTTTCTTGAATAGGGATAAATAACAGAGGTCTTTTCTTCTTCTTCTTCTTTCTTTTTCTTTTCTTTTTTTTTTTTTTTGAGACAGAGTCTCACTCTTTTGCCCAGGTTGGAGTGCAGTGGCACGATCTCAGCTCAGGGCAACCTCCGCCTCCCGGATTCAAGTGATTCTCCTGCCTCAGATTCCCAAGTAGCTGGAATTACAGGCATGTGCCACCACACCCAGTTAATTTTTGTATTTTCAGTAGAGACAGGGTTTTGTCATGTTGGCCAGGCTGGTGTGGAACGCCAGACCTCAGGTGATCCACCTAAAGACAGCAAACATATACAATAGTTGGAAATCCTCATCTAGTCTTCTCCCATTATCATACACTCTTGTTAGTAATGTGTTAATACAATAGACCCCTACACCAAAACTGATATGTGACAGGCCCTGCCCTTGGGGCTGTAGATACAGCTGTGAATAGGGTAGGTCTAGTCCCTGCCCCTATGAAGCTTCCATGTAGTGGGAAAGAGAGATTTTAAACAAATAATTACAAATGTGATGACTGATATATAAAGGAAGTTACAGGTTTTATCGGAACATGAGGCTTAGAGACACGGCTCGAGGAAATGACCTCTGGGTTAAGAGCTGAAGAAAAAAAGAAAACCTTAAAAATACTGATACCCCAATCCAAAGTAATATAGAGAAGTGCCGTCCCTTCTCCAAGGCCACCACTAGCTCATAAAATGCCTCTGTGTGAATTAGAGAATGTCGCTCTTGCTATCCTGGCTGGCTCAGTGGTGGCACCCCAGTGGCCCACCTTTGTGTGTGACCCAAATGGCACGTCCACAAAGTGTGTCCCTTCTCCACAGGGCAGGTTTTGATTTATTAAAAATACAACACTAAACACTATTTTACCAAATTTAGCTAATGGAGAAAATATACATTGAAATTATTCACATTTGAAAAAGATTGCAGACCATTCAAGTTTAATTAAGTCCTGGTTAAAGATACTTAAAGATTTAACAGGAAAAAACAAAAAGTGAAAATGTTTTAATTTCTTATGATAAATATAAATGATAAATGAGTCCTCACTCTGAAAATATAACTCTAAAAAAGGACATTTTTCTAGTTGACTTTTGTTGTTGTTCTACCCAAAAGGAAGCCCAAACATCAGAAACTTCTCTATTCTATTGTGAAGTGGAGGGAAGGACAGGTGGAAGAAAGGAATGACCCAGGAGCACAGAACAATCTGTAGAAATGAGAAGGAGGGCCGCATTCACGCTGAAATGTGTGCATCACAGCTGGAATAAAGAAAGCAAGGGATAGAGGTGGGAGGCAAATCTGGAAACACTCGCAGAGACCAAATCATGGAAGACTATGTTGGCATGCAAGCTGTGTTGTAAATTTTAATACAGTTTATATCTATCTTGTTTAAAAGGTGTCATGCTTGCATAGGGTAGAAAACATATGTGGTAGAAATACAATACTAAATTACTAACAAAGAGCTTATAAGAAAAACAACAGGAATCTGCCCAAACCCTACTCTGTCTTTATCTCCCCTGTTTCTCTACTCTTTCAATCCTACTCTCCCTAAGAAATTGTTTCAAAACTTAAAAAAAACAAGTCTTCTACTTCTCTTTTTTTCTTTTCTTTTTTCTTTTTTTTGGACGGAGTCTCACTCTATTGTCCAGGCTACAGTGCAGTGGCGCGATCTCAGCTCACTGCAACCTCCAGCGATTCTCCTGCCTCAGCCTCCTGAGTAGCTGGGACTACAGGCATGAGCCACTGCACCCAGCTAATTCTGCATTTTTTTTAGTAGAGATGTGGTTTCACCATATTGGCCAGGCTGGTCTCGAACTCCTGACCTCGTGATCCACCCGCCTCGGCCTGCCAAAGTGTTGGGATTACAGGCGTGAACCACTGCACCTGGCAAAAGTCTTTTACTTCTATAGGTATAAATAGTAGACTTACACCATTACAATTTTACTACAAAATTTCTAAACATAGGCAAAAGTTGAATAAGGATCCTTCAAGAGCCCCTTCACTTAGCTTCAATAACAAACAACATTTGGCACTGTCATTACCAATTCTCCAGTACCAAAGAAAATGTATGCTTCCCAGTACAGCCAGTAAAAGTCTGTCGTATGCACTTCATCACCCTGGCAAGGGCCACCTTCCCATCACTTGAACCAATCCTTGTTGGAAGGTATGGACAATTAGATGAGCATGGATTCTGTGCCCACTCCTGCCAACAGTGTGGGCCAACCCCTTCCAAACCAAGTGGACTCTGTGTTGATGTTGGTGTACCAAAGGAAACCAAAGGAAAACTGATGGGGCTTTTAGCAAAGCAATTGAGTGGCTCATGGGAGGGAAAAGCAAACCAAACCCATGTCCTGTACAGTAGTGATTGGACAAAAATATACAGTCCAAGGGAAATTATAAGCACTAGTTCCAAAGTGAGACAAGCTAGATTCAGTATCTATCCTACTGTTCACAGGACATGTTTTTTTCTTTGGGTTGGTTCCAAGACCATCCAATAATTTTCTTCTAATAATTTTTCTAGACTTAGAACTGTGAAATTATGGAAGTAAATGTCTCAGAAATCATGGATCATCCCTATCACTGGCAGCAAATTAGTTTCTGTGAATAGACAAAAGAATCTGAGAATACTGCAGTTACAATTAACTATCAACTTAAAAACAAGAGGCAAAGTCACAGTCTCTCTGTATGAGAGACAAGGAGCTACAGGCTCCAACTTCTACCAGGAAGTGTGTGTGTGTGTAAGAAGCCAGACATTGTCTCTGTTTCTAGGGCAATCTATTAAACCCAGCAGTATCCATCATTTTACCCTAACATCACTGTTGAGAACACCAGTTCTGCAACCTACAGAATGGGAGAAAATTTTTGCAAGCTACCCATCTGACAAGTTCTGATATCCAGAATCTGCAAGGGACTTAAACAAATTTACAACAACAACAAAAACACATCAAAAAGTGGGCAAAGGATATGAACAGACACTTCTCAAAAGAAGACATTTATGTGGCCAATAAACATGAAAAAAAGCTCATCATTACTGGTCATTAGGGAAATGTAAATCAAAACCACAATGGGGTACCATCTCATGCCAGTTAGAATGGCGATCATTAAAAAGTCAGGAAACAACAGATGTTGGTGAGGCTGTGGAGAAACAGGAATGCTTTTACACTGTTGTTGGGAGTGTAAATTAGTTCAACCATTGTGGAAGACAATGTGATGATTCCTCAAAGATCTAGAACCAGAAATACCATTTGACCCAGCAATCCCATTACTGGATATACACCCAAAGGACTATAAACCATTCTACTATAAAGACACATGCACACATACTTTTATTGCAGCATTATTTACAATAGCAAAGACTTGGAACCAACCCAAATGCCCACCAATGATAGACTGGATAAAGAAAATATGGCATATATACCATTGAATACCATGCAGCCATGAAAAAGAATGAGTTCATGTCCTTTGCAGGGACATGGATGAAGCTGGAAGCCATAATTCTCAGCAAACTAACACAGGAACAGAAAACCAAACAACACATGTTCTCACTCATAAGTGGGAGATGAAAAATGAGAACAAATGGACACAGGGAGGGAAACATCACACTGGGGCCTGTCGGGAGGTTGGGGGCAATGGGAGGGAGAGCATTAGGACAAATATCTAATGCATGCAGAGCTTAAAATCTAGATGATGGATTGATAGGTGCAGCAAACCACCATGGCACATGTATACCTATGTAACAAACCTGCACGTTCTGCACATGTATCCCAGAACTTAAATGAAAAAAAAAAAAGAACATCAGTTCTGGAGTTGAATTTCCTGAGTTCAAATTCCTTCTCTACCCAAGGCTGGATTACCCAAAGGCAGACAAATCACATTCTGAGGCAGGCAGAAAATCAGATACCAACACCTTTTTGGAAGTTAAACTTGTTATTGAATGAAAATTCAGTAGTAAACATTGGAAAAATCCAGACCTGGTTGAACATATTTTCATCTATTTTCTAGGTGACATTTTGTTTAAATTGTAAACCATTCATGAAGAATAAGTTCCACAATGTTTTCATTGCTATGGGCTTCAATTAAACCCTGGTTCTTCCTTTTATTCACTTTGTGACTTCAAAAAACTTATTTTATGTCCCTTAGTGTCAGTTTCCTCATGTACGAAATGGGGATCATACTAGTACCTACCTCAGAGGTCTGCTGGGAAGATAACATTAAATCACTCACAGTAAATAGCTCACGCAATGCCTGGAACATACTAATCACTCATTATGTGTTAGGTGTCATTACTGTTCTTTCCTTTGACAAATACTTCATGAACACCTTTGATGTGTAGAGCCCCTGGCAAAGGGTACTAGAGAAATAAAAGGAAATTATCTAGAATTGGGAATTTGTTAAATATGCTGACGGGATTCAGCAAAAGACATGCCCTAAATTAGTTCTCCTAATGGGAAGCCACTCTACTCTCAACATAGCCTAAGGAATGATATTCAAAACAAACAACAATATGGTCTAAAAGTAAACTGGAGAAAGTAGCTAGGCATACACTCATTAATCCCAGAGACAAATCTCCAATGAGAACTCCCTCTAACCGAAGAGTCAAGATGGGCTAGAATGAGATTAAGAGAAAGCTCAGGGGATGCTGGGGTGTGGGTTGATTAAGTGAGGATTACATCCGCTGCACCCAGTAATCCTGTTCCAGAGTGAAGCCCACTGTGCCTGTGGACCCCCCACCACTTGACAGTGCCTTGATTCCATGGTGACCAGAGGAGTCAGATGCCTGTTTTGTGGTATGAACGAATGGGCATATAGACTTAGTAGCAGCTGTTAACATGACTTTGTCCTTTGGTTGAAGGGCAAAGGGCAAACCCTGGAAAATGAAGCTAATCCCAAAGACCCAACCTCACAGCTCTGTGACACTCAGTTTCAGCACATGCCACTTTTCTTTGGGTTAGGTTATACCCAAGAATCCTTCCAGAAGTGGGAGAAAAAATGTAGAAAGGGCTAAGATACTGCTGACAACTACCATTATTGATACCATGTCTGGGAAAACATTGACATTCTCTAAATATACAAGGACTGAATGCTAACCCCAAGGGGGTCAACAATGAAGTGAGATTCAGCCCCCAGGATGTGCACGCTAGACTGGACACCGTTAACAGTCCACTATGGGACCAGGAGAAATCAAACAACAGCTTTGTGAGGAAAAGATTTGTATCCTCATGTCATGGATGTGAAGACAGAAACACAGAGAGGTGGAGTGATTTTCCATAGAACCAAAGCTGGTTTGGGGCTCTCTCCACTATTCCAGCGTGTCTCGCTTGCTATTTGAAAACTTGTTAAAGCATAATAAATTAGAAGCCTTATTCAGGGATGGCAGGGATGAGAAAGGGATATCAGGTTGTTATGGGAACCCGTGGTCTTTAGAGCTATTGGTCAAAAATAGAAGCCTCAGGATGGCAGGATGAAAGATCCTCTCTGGAAGACTAAGAGGTGAAGTGAGTCTCTTGGGGAAAGCAATAGCGTAGGCAGAAAAACAATAAAAAGAAGCACAAGGCACCTTTTACAGAAAGGGGTTCCATTTTTTCTTATGACCGTGGCCACCATCTAGTGGTCAGGCTTGGAAGCGGGATTCAGGCTCCAGATACTGAGCACACGGCCAAAGCCCCATGGTGGAGTTGATGGCGTGACCCTGCCTTTTCTCTCCCGCCTTGTGGGGCATCCTTTACTTCCTGGCACGGAGGTACACTTGCATGGGGTTTTCCTGCCACTCTGGTAGGGAGGCCAGGCTGTCAGCCACCTCCTTCTGGATAGGCCAGCCCCAGGCCTCAAAGAAGGGAACCAGATTCTTCTTCACTTTTTCAGAGAACTTCTTCACCCATAGATTCATCCTGCCAGTGTTGTCTTTGGGGAGGTGAGAGAGGGTCTGGTACTCAGCAAAGAGCTGGGTGAATGGCTCCCACCCGAAGGCCTCTTGGAGCTGAAAAGGGAAAGAAGGAACAGAATGAGGTGTCAAGTTTGCAAAAGTGACGTGACATGTGCGTTCTTAAATATATTTCATTCACATGATCACCTCCCCTCAATCGTTACCTTCATCCTGGGTATGTGCCCCTATCTCCCCACTCTGCCCCTGCACAATAATGCAATCTTGTTGGCTCATTCCTCCTCTTGGCCACAAAACAACACCCCCTGAATCTAGTGGGGGTGCTCAGGGGAAACCTAATGTCTGAATAGAGGTAAATACTCAATAAATGTCCACTATTAGTATCTTTAAACAATTGTCTTCCCAGATCTCAAGTGTTTTCCTCAGCATCAGGACAGGTTTGGGCCTGACTGAGATGAGAAACCCTCACTTCCTACATATCTGGCCTATTGAGATTCTAAAAGCTGCGAACCTCCAATACCATACTTTCCAGACATCATAATAATCCTTATTTTTTAATAGCCATCTTGGACCTGTGGCTATCTGCAATGATACAAAATTGCTCTGTAGAACACTGCATTTAGGGCAGAAAAAGAAAAAAATCCAGCCTGTCTCGAGGGGCTAAAAATGAGAGTGGCTCATACTTCATAAGGGGCAGCTAATGAGAGTGGCTCATACTTCATAAGGGGCAGCTCTCCGGAAAGCCCTTGGCAGAAGGCCCTTGTTTACTAAGATTATACAAATTTCCAGTTAGCGGGGATCTGGGGTTTCACATCCCCACTCTCCCTTTAATAGATGAGCATTCTGTGACTGTAGCTCATAAAAGCCCAAGGACAGATAACACCACTGAAGCCAAGCCTACCTCAGAGTCTCACTGTTGTATCCTTATTATTGCTCATCTGTTCTCACTGGCTTGCTCTTTGACACTTATTAATCAATGCATCAATAAATTAAGCATTTATTAAACGTTTAACATGTATTAGACACCCACACACCGCCAGCTACTGTGCTAGGCAAACATCATTAAGAGCTCTTGTCCTTCTAGAGAACACTGGCCAAAGAGAGAAACACACGTAAATAAACACATTGCTAAAACTGTTGGTTTATCAAGGAGGCGATGTCCAGGAGAGAAAGGGCCAACAGAGCTGAATTTGGACAGGTGACTTGACAGCTAATGGACAAGATGTTCCAGCATGATTCAGCAGCAGGAAGCAAACAAGGGGAGGCACAGAAGCCAAAACAGCAAGCTGTGTCCGTAACCATAAGCAGGTTGGCATGCCGAAGGGTAAATGTGGAGGTGAGAGCAGTAGGAGATGTAGCTAGAGGTGCTGGCGAGGCTGGTCATGAAGGGCCTCCTATGCCCTGCTAATGAGCTTTGACTTTACCCTATATGTGCTAGAGAACACTGTAAGCATTTGATAGACAGAGTATTAACATTATTTTGGAAGGAGTGTAAGGAAGATGGATCATAGAGGATTGAGGCAAGATGCTGGGACAACTTAGAAGGCTACTGGAATACACTGAGGGAAGACTAACGAGGCCTGAGCTAAGGCAGCAGTGGCACGGATGCTGGGGAGAAGCCCTCTAGCAGGAAGAGGAGTCAGAAGGTGCCTGTTTATCCTGAGGCCAAGTCTCAGACTTGGTCTCTCTAGAGCTATTGAGAACTGATATTCGGGGCTCCACAGTGAGTAGGTAGCAGACTAGGACAGAATTAGGGCTTAAATTTACAGTTTAGGGGCAACCTACCATTGTGGTCAGTGGTCCTGTATACCCCCAGACTGGCTATCTAAGGATATGGAAATGAATGCAATACAAAGTTACCTCATTGACTGGGACTGTCTCACATTCACTCTTCAGAAAATTAGTGAAAGGCACAAAAAACTAAGAGAGGGTATGGCAATGCGAAAGCCTGGGGCTTGTCATTACGTCCTGATTTTAAGTTCTAGGTCCTTCACTTAAATGGGGGCTACTGGAGAGATTGCTTAAATTCTTTAAAATAGTGTGTGCCTCTGTGAAAAGTGGGCCAGACAGCTCCTATCCATAGAGCTGTGGGAGACATTGCAGGAGATCTGAAAGGGGAACAACATTGACAACTCGAAAACATCGACATTCAATGCAGGGCTAGGGGAGGGGGCAGGGATTTGTGTTTATTTCACAGGAAGTAGACTTGCTTTATGAATTCAGTGTTCTACTATTGGGTTGACTGGCTCTTCATTTTAAATCATTTTGGCTTCAAGTGGGGTGATGGATGATGAGACCCTTGTTAGCAGATTTGTCTCCAACAATGCCTTCTTATTGTAATGCAGCTGCATTGCAGACACCCTCCGTTATTATAAAAAAGCATAACTCATTTGACTCATAAAACTCAGGTGAAATAAAACAAAACTAAACAAAGCAATGACCATTTATGGAACACTTATTAGGAGACCAAGAACAAAACCAATGAGGGCAAGAGCTGTGATTCAGCTGCAGGAATGTCTAACAGAGTTTCTGCCCTTGAATAATATGCTATATTTCTATTTTTTTCATAATATTTTTCATTTCCTCTTACATTGCAAAATCAGAAGGTGAGTGAGACAGGTGCCATTCTCTCTGCCTTAGAGGGGTATAACCCAAGAAGCACCACCCTGCGGCCCAGTCCCTCTCATTTCCAGGGGAGGTGGAGGTCCAGGCTGGTGGAGTGGTGAAGGAGGTGGAGAGCTACTGGGATCCAGGTCGCTACATGACTGAGGGGTCTGGTCATCCCCTTCTCCCAGAATTTCTGCTCAGTACCTGTAGATATGTTTCCAGGGCTGTCCATACATTCCAGTCACACAGGGGGGCTCCCTTTCCCAGGTGGGCCTTGATTCTCCTCTCTCGCTCTGGAGGGCTCAGAGCCTCGTGGGCCTGAGCCCTGGGGATCCCCAGGACTGTTTCATGCACGTAGACTGACCAAAGGTTACAGGTGGCCTCAGTAGTGTGTGGGGGGAACTCCCATCCATGCCGCTGTTGGTTGTGGCCCAGCTCATGGATGGGGCCCCACACACCCCTGCTCCTCATGTCCATCTCATTGATGATCTCCTTCACAGACTCCAGGTGGCACATGATGGGGTATCCTGAATGCATCCAGCCTGGGAACACAGAAGGAAGAGATGAGCATTGAGGAGGGTCCGCCCAAACTATCTCCTTCATTCTTCTCCATTATTGGACTTTTCTTCACCATCCTGGTTATCCCCAATAATTGCAGAATCTCTGTGCTGATTGGAAAGCAAATAGCTTTCCCCTACTTGGTCAGAAACTGAATAGTACCTAATCCCCTTCTTAGTCTCTCACACCTGAGTTGTGGCCTCCTCCTCAATCTGGCCCTGGAGAATTTGGTTATACTTTACATAGTCATTCTTGCTGTAATTCGACACCTTCATTTTGTGTGTGTGAGTGTCCTTTACATGTCAGTCTGAGATATGATGTCCTATGACTGGATCTGAGATCCTTGAGGGCTAGAACAGTGTCATTCTTTCTTCCCCATGTATACTACTTTTGTCCAAATTTACACTCTATGACAGAGATAATTTTTGTCCTTATTTGAAGGTATGAAAATTGAGGTCCAAAGAACTTTCCCCATTTGGGATCCAGAGTTCCTTATTTCTCTTCCTATGTACCTCTTTCTTTTTAACCACTCAGTACTTACCATAAACCTCCTTACGTATTTCCTCTTTTCATTTTCAACTCTGGCTTATGTTTGAAGAAAATAGTTGATTTTCTATGTTGTCCTTGAAATGACTCTGGTTGCCATCTATGAATTCCCAATACAACGTTTTCTGAGATTGTTTTACCATCCAGTGAAATCTCACCTTGTAGATGTCAATAATTTGTTTTTCACATGTAAACATTCTTTCATCCCCATCATGGTCAATGTCTTTTATATCTTTTTCCCTTGCTTTACTAATAAAATTATGCTTACACATTTTGGACATTCATAAAAGGCAAAGTAATAGATACATGGTTTCCACTGACTAGGAGGATTCCCTGGGAGCACCCACCAGCTGAGATCTGCACATCAGCCACAATCCTCTCAGGACGGCGGAAAGGGAAGGGCTCAGCCGCCAGCCTGGCCACAGCCTGCATCATCTCATCCCAGAGGCGGAGCACAGGCTCGGGGTCCTTCAGGGCCTGAAGGTTTGTGGTTGGCACTGTCAGGATGATGTTGTCCGTGGCCAGCTCTCCCCAGGGAGCCAGGTTCTCCTGCATCTGCCTCTTCCACTCCTCCAGCGATGTCTTACCTGGGAATAAATATCATGGAACCTACCACACCCACTTCTCCAACTTCCCTTGAGCTGAAAAATACCATTTGAACTCTGGAAGAACATTGCAATAATGAACTACTATCACAGGCGTCTATAGGCTGTAAAGGGAAGAAAAGGCTTCCTGACTCTTCTCTTTGTCTGCCCTGAAGTCTCCATGGACACAGGGTATTCCGTATCTTCTGCCTCCATGTTCCCTCCCAACAGTTCTTCCTCTTTCTCTCCACCAAAGCTCATCCCTCTCCCATTTAGCAACCACCCCACAGTTCCCACGGCATCTGCCACTCTTCCTCCTCCCTAAATGTTCACTCCACTTACCCAGCTTGTAGTATGGGGCAGGCACAGCTCCCCTGATAGTGACAGGCACAGGGCCTAGTTGGCTGCCCTTGGGCACGATGACGTAGAGGAGGCCACCCCAGAGGCAGGAGACTGACCGCTCAGTCCTGTCCATCCAGCATTGGTGAGTCACCACGGGGGCTCGAGATAGCTTCCTGGCCTTGGTAAGGTCATCGGTGTGGCAGCCAATCTGTACCTGGACAGGTGATTCCACCAAGCGTTGGAGAAATTAGAGTCTTTGTGATGCTTTGTGATGTGCGTGTGAGGTTGTGTAGATGGAAGGTATTAGACAAACATGCCCATGAAACCCCAGCTTCCCTTTTCTATGTGCTAGGCATGGAAACTTATGAAATTTTAGCACTCCAAAGTCATTTGGACTTCAAGGCATTTAAAATCATTTTTCTAAGGATTTAAACAGCTCCACTATAAGTCTTCACCTGACATGAATTGGTGAGAGACCAGGCTGATCCTGGCAAAGGTCTTGTGTCTTTCTGCCAGGCAAAATCCTGGGTTCTTCTAGCAGGACCTAAGCCAGTCTGGGGACGCTGATATTGAGGATGAGCTGGGGGACTCTGCTCTGTCCTCTGTGAACACACAGGAGGCCCATCCAGAGTGAGTGAGGTTGATTCTCTCTCCCTCTTTGCCCAGAGCTTCCCTTTCTGGCCGCCAGATGGGTGGAGATCTGTTTTGTCTGGAGTCCTGGAGTTGCTTTTCTTAGGTTTGATATAAGCAAGCTCCAGAAAGAATGCTGACAGAAAAGGGACCCTAGCTGTGGTAGGAAGTGGCCCTCAGAGTCAAGGAGGCAGGATGAATTTAAATTCTGCATGTAGGGCATATTTTGGGGAGTGATGGGATTATGCACACCCTTCAGGTGTCAAGATAAAGAGATAAAACCAGAGTTTGTGCAGAATGAGCTTGCTGACACACAGCCTAAATTTGTACCGCATGTTTCATACTAACTCCCTCTGAGTTTGCACATGGGACCCATGAGGAGGCATGAAGAGGTAACTGCCCATGCCCGAGGATTTTCCAGCCCTTCCTTTTCTTTCTATCAATCACCTACTAATCACAGAATCCACTCCCTACACCTTTTCTACTAAAATAACTCTTTAAAATAAGTACAATGGGACAGATTTGAGCTGGGCTCCTGTCTCCTTGTTAATCAAATTGCAATAAAATGTTTTCTTTTGTTTTTGTTTTTGTTTTTTTTTTGGTGAAAAACTCAAGTGTCATAGTTTTGGCTTCTAGTCCATTCTGCAGTGAGCTTCTCTTGCTTGATAACACTAGGCACTTCAGTCACTCACTTAGATGCCCTGAAATTTAGCTGCTTCATCTGTAAAATCTGTAAAATGGGCAGAATAATCCATCTCTGTACTCCTGGCAGCATTGCCATGAGCTGGAACTAGACAGTGGATGAGAATGACACAGCTCTACGGTTTTGAGAGGTGGCAGATGTGGGTGTTCAGACCTTACCCTCAGGCCAGCAGAGGCAGCAGCTTCAGACAGTGAGACTTCTGCATTTTGTCCTTCCAGGAGGTAGAGCCCGGTACTCACCCAGCAATCATTGTTGCCTGACAAAAGTCACAGAGAAGGCTCAGTTCTTCCTTCCTATGTGAGTATATCTCCACTTGGGGCCTCCCAGCCCCTCCCAGTGGTACAGCTTCTCCCCTGTGTATCTCAAGTCATCCATACTTCTTAGACTCATCCCCTCTAAACCTTAAGCAGTGTCCCAATCCCCATCTTCTTGAAAGTACCTGATGAAGAATGGAGTCAGCTGGGCCCAGTGGCTCACGACTGTAATCCCAGCACTTTGGGAGGCCAAGGCAGGTGGATCACCTGAGGTCAGGAGTTCCGGACCAGCCTTACCTTTACGGTGAAACTCCCTCTCTACTAAAAATACAAAAATTAGCCAGGCATGGTGGCGTGTGCCTGTAGTCCCAGCAACACAGGAGGCTGAGAGAGGAGAATTGCTTAAACCCAGGAGGTGGAGGTTGCATGAGCTGAGATCGCGCCACTGCATTCCAACCTGGATGACAGAGTGAGACTCTGTCTCAAAAAAAAAAAAGAATGGGGTCAATCTTCCTGAGGGTAGGTACCTGCAATGTCCTGTGTAGTGTCAGCCAATCCCACTTTCCCCTACATCTTTAATGTTCTGGGCACTCTCTCCTGTTTTCATACCTGGGTTGATTCCATTGATCTCCACGGTGATGGGGTGTTTTGAGGGGTACAAACTGGAGGAGCAGGTCCAGGTGCCAAGCCCCTGGGCCAGCTGGGAGCAGTCAGTTCCAGAGTGAGCCAGCCCAGTGGCCAGGGAGAGCACGGCAGCCTCATAGGAGTCACTGGCAACTGGATTTTCCTGGCTCACAGCTGGGAGGCCAGACCCTCGTAGCATCTTCCTCAGGAGCCTGTGCAGGGATATGTAAGCAGGGACCCCCTCCGCAGGAATCTGTAGGAAGGCTGCACCATCAACTCTCAACTTTGCCAGACAGCTCTTTTCCAAGTTCCCATTCTCGTGGTTCAGTATAGCCTGGAATTGAGAGAGCGCCTTGCGGAAGTGGTAGCTTCTCATCTCAGGGGTGGGAACGGGGAAGCAGCCTGCTTTGAGAGTCTGAGGCAGGATGCTGAGGCCAAAGCAGTTGAGGATGATGTTACCAGGGAAGCCAGCCAAGGGGCAGTGGCCAGGGTTCTGGGAGGCCCACCACCAGGCCTGGCCCCCAATCAGCAGCCCCCCACCCTCAGCCACAAACTCCTGCAGCTGCTTAGCCTCCTTGTCACTGTATGCCTTGCAGCAGTAGACACACAAGTCGCTGTTCAGATGGGGCTCCAGGCTGCATTGCAGGCCATGCTCCGATAGGAGAGGACACAGATCTTTTAGATTTGTGTTCACCCCAACTTTGCCTGTCTGGCCTCTGGCCAGCCAGCGCACCGCATTGAGCAAGAAGGGCCCCATCTTGGGAGCACAGAGCAGGCACTCGTGGGCAGCCAGGACCACCCGGCCCCGGCCATAGTGAGCAGCCGCCAGGAAGCAGTTGAGTGAGGCATCCAGCCCCAGAGGGAAGGCCAGGGCTCCATGTACAAGCAGCTGTGAGGGGACTCCCCCTGTCCTGATGTCCAGCTCTGAGATCCCCTCCAGGAGCTGCTGCTGGTCCTGCCTGACATCCTCCCCATACCTGGAAGAGACAGGAGAAACAATGAGGCTACAGTCAGTTAATGAGCCACTGAATCGAACTCATTGAGTAGAGAAATCTATGTGCAGGTAAGAAGATTGCACGGTTCATGTCAATCTTCACATTCTTACTAATGTTAGGATTTTAGCATGCTAATATCATTTATTTTTATCATGTTTAAGGCATATTTTTTCACTGTTTTTACAACTGATGGCATATTATCATTTAATTGGCAACGTTTAGTCTTTCTTTCTTTCTTTCTTTCTTTCTTTCTTTCTTTCTTTCTTTCTTTTCTTTCTTTCTTTCTTTTTTTATTTGAGATGGAGTTTCGCTCTGTCGCCAGGCTAGAGTGCAGTGGCACAATCTCGGCTCACTGCAACCTCCACCTACCGGGTTCAAGCAATTCTACTGCCTCAGCCTCCCGAGAAGCTGGGACTACAGGTGCGTGCCACCACACCCAGCTAATTTTTGTATTTTTAGTAGAGACGGGGTTTCACCATGCTGGCCAGGATGGTCTGGATCTCTTGACCTTGTGATCCGCCAGCCTCAGCCTCCCAAAGTGCTGGGACTACAGGTGTAAGCCACCATGCCCGGCCTGGTCTTTCTTAGTGATACATAAAATAATGGCATTTCTCACAATCAATTTGTCATAGATTTGAGGAAACGCTATAGAGGTAGTGCCCTTACTTGCATATCTTAAAATCCACATTTTCTAAATGAACACCTCCAGGAATTCCTCCCATTTAGTCAACTATGTGTTGAATATTTTGGCTTCAGTTTCTTGACTTTTAAAATAATTAAACATATAAACAAGTTAGAAAAACTAGTTTATTATGCCCAGAGAATGTGGTACTGCTTATGAATTTCTCGATCTAACTTTCTGCAAAGGAAGGCTGTAAAAACACCAAATCTGGACTCTCCGTAGGGTAGTTCTGATCTAGGAACACATCACAATTAAATTGTTTAACACTACGCTTGAAGATTTATACAAACACACACTGTTTTTAAAACTTCACTTAGATCTGGTTAGAGTATTCACTTCTTCTTCTTAAGGAATGGTCAAAATGTAATGAATCAAGAAAAGGCTTTGTATTTCAAGAATTTTTTTAAAACAATTTGTATATACTGTAAATGTCAAGCAATAGGAGGTTGGTTAAATAAATTATGGTTAACAATAGATTGCAAACCATATAGTGATTAAAATAAATATTAGGTAATTTGAAAAATGCTTAATGGAAAAAGTTTTAAAATTAGATTCCAGGATACCATGCTCTAAATAAGCCAAATTTTGGGGTAAAAAAAATAAAAAACCAAGAAACCAGACATAGAAGCAGAACCTAAAGCATATTTATCAAAATATCTTTGTTTAAAAAAAATGTCTTCAGTGGTCGTCTTGGCTGGTGGGATTTTAGGTCATTTTAATTATCTTTATAAAACTTTATTCTCTCGAATTTTAAAATTAACATCTATTTCTCTTATAATTAAAAATTAAATGTTATATTTTTTAAAAAGTATAGTTTATTTATTCCAGTAGTAAAACATTATTGAAAAATGTAACTCTTGTGCAGATTCTCTTTAATTTCTTTTCAGCATGAAAATGAGGAGATGGCATGTCTTAGTTTTGTCATCCCATTTTCAGACTCACATGGCAAATGTCATAGAGTTCAGGTATCAGTTCTGCCTGTGGCTTTTTGTTACCTGTTGGAACTCAAGATATTTTGGGGAGTTAATGACATTGAGCTACAAGACTTAATAATGAAAAATTCCACTCGAAGTGTTCTTAGCATCTTCTCACAGGCACCTGGCAAAGCCTCAGCTAATGGTAGTAAAACTTCAATATGGAAAGCTGCAGTTACTTGCAGATATCCTCTCCACAGCTAATTAAAATGACTGCATATATTCATCCACATGCCCACACACACAAACTACAGTAGCATTGGGAATCTAGGAAGTGACTAGAATGGTTGACAAAAGCTGCAAGAACCACATAGAATTAAAGAAAAAAACCAACAACTTCTTAGCATAAAGGCAGCATAAATAAAGTTAAAGAAGGTGAGGTCACTGAGAGACAAATATTTGTAACAGACTGAACAGATACAAAATTAGAATTCAGAATATATGAGTAATTTCTAAGGATAAACAGAAAAGCAAAAAACAGAAAATATTTTTAAAGTATATTCTCAAACAGTTCATGAAAGATGAAATCCAAGTGAGATATTCAGCATTTGAAAAGATATAATCACACAAATGCAAATTATATATAATAACATATTTTACCCAGAAAATTAGTAAATGTTTCAAAAGCTGACAATATTAAGTGTTGGCAAGAGTGTGGAGAAAACTAATCTTTCATAAAAACTGGAGATCATTTTGGCAGTATCCAATAACATTAAAAAGAGAAACAGCCTATAGTAGTATAAATGGAGGCAGTACTAGGAAGTTCATTGCAAATTGTTGGTAATAGTGAAAAAATATGAAGAAGTTAAATATTTACTAATATGAATGCAAATAAAAATTGGCATTTAATCATATGATGGATTACTATTTATCAGTCAATAAGAATAGGTCCACCTATGTTAATTAACAAGGAAAGATGTTCAAAACATATTTGTTGAGTAAAACAATTTCAAAAATAGCAGAACTTGGTGATGCAACTTATGGAAGACACAATATAAAGCAAAGTAAACATACGTCAATATGTGTCCAAAATGTCAGGGAACAACCACAATAAACTGATAAGAGTGTTTTCTTTTGGATTGTGAGATAGAGAGAAAGGACTGACATTGAAGGAGATGATGAAAAGGGCTTTTGCCTCAATAATTTGTTTCTTCAAATAAGGAGAATGTACAATTATATTTCTCAGGTAATCAAACATTAAATTTAAAATTTAAGATAACTGCTCCAAAAATAGAAGTAAAATGTATAATCTACAAATGTGTTGAGGAAATTTAAGAAATGGATAAAGCTTAGTAGCAACCAAGGAAAAATGTAAAAAGAAATAAAGCATAAAAATAGAAAATAAAATTAAAAGGGGGTAAGAGCAAGAAATACATTTGAATCATCACAGTATATATGAATGCATTGAATTTCCATCTCACAGAAGCTGTCAGATTGGGTTAAAAACATCTGGATATAAGCTGCTTATAAAAGACACACCTGAAACTAAACATAAAAGCATTGAAAATGACAAAATCAACAAAGTTTTATTTTAAAAAATACAAAAACAAAAAAGCAGACATATCAGCATTAATAAGGGATGCAAGTGATTTCAAAGAGGAAAAATTAAAAATGAACATTTTCTATGGATTAAAGTTACACTCTAACAAAAATAAAATTTTTATTAATTTTTATGCCCTGCAAAAACACAATACTGAAAGCAAGAACTGCTACAAAGAAAATAAAAATATGAATTGACATTACATTTGGAGATGGTAATGTATTCACAGCATCCATTGGAAAAAAAAAAAGGATGGAGATGATTTGATCAGAATGACTTACAAGCTTACTTACAGCCAGAAGACAATTGTCCTGCATCCTGAAGACAAGACATTGAGACCCTAGAAGGTTGTGTTCTGCTAACTTGTTGCAAAAATATGAAGTAAAAAGGCAGACATTCTCCAACATGATACATTAACTAAAAAATCAATGTGCAGAGCACACACACACACATAGATAAGCATCTGAGATGATCCACGTCAAACTTTTAGGATTGGCTACCTTGGTCCAGAGGCATGAGACTGGAGCTGGTGGTGTGGTGAGGAGGATGAGTTGCCATTTTCCTCTCTATATTTCTGTATTGGTGTGCATTTTTTCAAAATAAACTTGAATTCCTTTTGAAATATTTTCATAAAAAGGCATTTCTTAAAAGAAAACTAAAGAAAGAAAGGAAAGGAGGAAAGAAGGAAGGAAGGGGATGACAGAGGGAGGGAGGGGGAAGGGAGGGGGAAGCAGGGAGGGAGGGAGGGAAAAGTGAGTAAGCATAGCAGTTAGTATATCAGGTAAATTTCAACAGCTGATTTGACAATATCCTAAGGGCAATATTAATGATCTCAGACAGCTAGTTACCAATATTTAAATCTTGTATAATATCTGTTTACAATGTTTAAGTGTGGAAAACAATGAAAGTAGCTGCTATTTAATAAGGTTTAATATATGTTAGGTATTTAACATATGTATTATCTCTTTCAATCATTATAATAAACCTGAAAGTTACTATTCTCACTTTAAAGATGGAGTTTGGAAAAGCTAAGCAATTTTCCCCACGTTTCCTAGCTAATAACTGGCAGGGACAGGAAGCAAACCTGACAAAGCAGGAGCATCGTCATCTTGGATAAACACCGCTAATTTATGTTTCAGCTCCCTTTCTAGCCCCATGCATTTCCAGGAAATCACTTCTCTTCTAACTACAAGCAGCCGGAAAGAGCAGAACGGTAAAACACAGATGAGACAGCTCGGGCACAGAGGGAGGAGGGAGCAAAGTCTCTTGGGTAACTGCCAAACTTCATCCTCATACAATGGGCCCCAGTTAAACAGTGGGCCTTAATAAGAACATTCCTTTCCCTTTGGGTGCACTAAGTTAGGGAAGTTAAAAGATAGGAAGCTAAAAGTGGGGTATGCCTGCAGCTGCAGAAAGATATATGGGAACAGAGATACAACTCTCCCTCTCAGATAAGCACAACAAAGAGACACAGAAGCAGTCGAGGCCTCTGATAAACTCTCCCACCTTGAATCCTTAAAAACTCTTAGTCTGTAAGGGAGTATGCCTCTGACCTAACTCGGCCAGATGCCCCTCCCATGTTTATTTTCTCTAAATTAAACCTGTCTGTGACTGTCAAGCCACCTTTTGTATTTCTTTCCTATTTCTTTAATTTTTACTAAACCCAGGCTGGCTTGCTTCCAAAGCCACCGTTGTCTACACACCAGAACTCTCTCACTCAATTACTGAGTCTTTGACGGAACCTACATCTGGGTACATGGTTTTCGACAGGTATATCTTGTGCAAAGGAAGCTTTACAGGATGCAAAGGTGCGAACAATACTGTGTTTAAGAAAGGAAAAGCATGTGTTACTTCAGAGCTGGAAGTGCAGGGGAAGCCACTGAGGACTAAAGGAAAGGGATGGGATGGTATGGTTAGGAAATGTTCGCAAACCACATCTGAGCAGACAGGTAACATGGGCGATAGGTTTCTGAATGCCAATTAAAAAACTGCCAAATTAGGAAGGTACAGCACTAAATAAAAAGGTAAGTGTGAAGTGCGCTGCTGTCATTTTCACCATATTGAAGGTAAAACATCTAACAATTTATATATTTTTTCTTGAAAATAAAAGTAATGAAGTCTACTGGTAGTAATCAAATACATCTTCACTTAGCTTGTTTTGTTTTTCTGTTGAGATTGTATAGAATGTAAAAATACTCTTCTGGATTTATTTCACTCTCTGATAAATATAAACAGGACAGAAATACTAGAATCTAGAAACGATGTTTTCTTAGGATCTATAACATCAAAAAAAGGACTAGAGAGAACTATGTTGATCAGATGCTGTAAAAAACATTTTGAAGACCTGCAGCCCCCAACACTTGAGTATCTTTTTTTTTTTGTATTTTTAATTTCTTAAATACAGATAAATCATAGTAAATAAGAAAACTTTAAAAACTGTCTCCATCATCACTGAACAATATGGGCATTGATAATCAGAGAGGTGCCTTGAAATTGTAAATGTATTTTTTTTCTTTTATTTTAAGCTGGTAAATACAGGGTAAAATCTCTTTAGATCTCAATCATGCCTATTAGACACACAATTTTATTTAAACTATTTAACCTGTCAGATTTAAGAAAATAATTTGGAAAACTCACTTTTGTAACAAATTGCAGGTACAAAAATTACTCATTTGGAATAGTCAGAATACAGATGCTACTCACCTGTGAGCACAGATATATTCATATTTCTATGTCAGACCAAAATCCTGCTTAAACACACAAACATTCCTAACAATGTCATAATGTTTACTCTTTCTCCTGGCTTAATAAACTATATTTCTGATATTATTGGAAGATTATTGTTAGAATTGAAGGAGATAATACAGGTTGAGCAGCCCTTATGGAAAATGCTTGGGACCAACCAATAGTGTTTCAGATTTTGATTTTTTTCAGGTTATGGAATATTTGCATACACATAAGGAGATACCTTGGTGTTGGGACCCAACTCTAAACACAAAATTCATTTATGTTTCCTATACACCTTTACACAGAGCCTAAAGGTAATTTATACAATATTTTAAATAAGTTTGTGCATGAAAAAAGTTTGTGTACATTGAACCATCAGAAAGCAAAGGTGTCCCCAAAGTGGGATTTTCCACTTCTGGCATTATGTTGGTGGTGCTCAAAAAGTTTTGAATTTTGGAGAATTTCAGATTTTTGATTTTTGATTAGGCCTGGTTTCTCCGTCTTAGGGGACCTAATAAGCTAGGCCCACTTCCACCAAACCACAGATGGAACTCACATGGGGAGTTTACACTTGAAAGCTTTTTTTCTTGTCTATCCACCCAATTTGTTCACTTTTCTATGTATTAGAAAGCATTAATGATAACTATTGAATTTGTGATTTTGAATATTTTCTTTCCATTGTACATGGAAGGTTGACTGGTGTTAGGAGATACTCCATCCTGGGCCACCCATCAATCACCTGTTCTCCTTGGCCAGTGCATAGCAATGTATGTCATCATCATAAAAACCTTCCACATCCAGCCATTTATTAATTATTTTTCATTCATTTTGTCAGATTTGGTGGAGAGAGCAATTCTGGGATCTAGTCTCATTTCAGCTTTTACCTGGAAACTACATTCATGGATCTTGAATATAAACCTCATAAACCTTCCACACAATTATCTCTGTCTCTGAGTCAGATTCCCAGGAACCCAAGCTGAAACAAGTGGAATTTAGCAGCGCCTAGCAAAATTACGTATGAATTTCCTCCGTGACTCAGAAATCCCATTTCCAGTGATATGGCAAAATATAATGATACATACACAAAGGTATGTGGTGCTTGTAACTTGGAACTCCTTGGACAAAGACTTTCCTACTCTACAGGACTGTGTTGAGGACAGAGAAAATAAATAATTCTCAAGACAGTCATAAACCTAAGCCACTAGTACATATTTACAATTTTTACTTACCAAATAGTGACAGGTTCTCACTATGTTGCTCAGGCTGGAGTGCAATGCGTATTTGCAGGTGCAATTACAGAACACTGCAGCCTTGGATTCCCAGCCTCAAGAGAGCCTCCTACCTCAGCCTCTCGAGTATGTGAGTACCTGTGCATCAGCATGCCCAGTTACATATTTACTTTTATATGGGCAGCTGCTAACATATTTTAGAGCTTGTAGATTATACCGTGTGTAAGTGTAATGGGTGGCTGCTTAGTATCTGAGGTTAACTTTTCTTCCAGACTCTTCTGTCATGGTATAAAGGTAGCAAGTGCCTTTGGATTTGCTTTTAAATATTAAAGCAACTGCAGTATACTCCTGTTATATAAACATAGGTGTGCCCTTGGGGATAGGATGTGAGAGGAGCTTTTGTTGGTGTTTAGAGACTGCCCCACTCCTTGGCAGGCAGAGTTGGGGCAGGCCAGCAATCAATTCTCTTAAGAAGCTCCAGGGCCTTCCAGCCGAGATTTAAAGTTAAGGAACCTGCTGGGTCAGTCCAAGCGCCTTTGACCAATATTTGTGGCAGGAATGTTCACTGAAAACCTCTAATGGGACTTGCTCTGAAGGCGGGAGGAATCTGAGCCAGAGACTCAGACTCTGACCTTCTGAGACTCTCAAGGAGTTGGTTCCCTCTGGCTCTATTGTTGGCTGAGGCTGGAAGGCTCTGGCGCAACCCCCAGCCCTATATTCCATAGTAGGAAGTTGTCTGCAGGATTAACAGTAGTATATGAGGCTGTCTTTTCTCTTGTTATGGTTTTGGATGTGTATTCATTCATATTTTTTCATTAATTTATATAGTTTACAAATATTTGTTGATCTCTAATGTTAAGTACTCCAGGCACTGAGAATAAAGCAGTAAACGCAACAGGCAAGATCATGGAGCTCTATATTCTGGTTGGTTAGACAGGCCCTAGCAAGAAACAGTGGAGATAGTTATAGAGAGTGATAATGTTTAAGGAATAAATGGAGAAATGTGATGAAGTGAAACTGGATGGACAGTCCAAATTTCAGTATGGCCACTGGGGAAGACTGCTCTGAGGAGGGTGTTTGAGTTGAAACTAATTAAGAAGAATAAATTGGATTTTCAAGAGCTGAAAGAAAGTGCAGAATAGGAACAAATATCTTGATATTTTATAAAACAAGAAATCTAATGTTACATGTTGTGGTCTTTACATTGAGGGACAGTTCTAAAATACTTTAAAGATGTGTATGGATAATATATGTTATCGCCAACCCCCCGATACTCAACTAGAAAATATCTGAGTATGCAACAAAGAGGAAATAGTTAAAACAAATTACAGAACTTATGATTAAAAATTATCATTAAAAATATCATATATAAAAATGGGAAAATATTTTTAAGGAGAATACAAAATAGCAGCATGTAATCATAGCTAGCAAAAATGATGTATTGATTTGTAAAGATATGCAAAGATAGAAGATATGTAAGCATAAACATTTTGGTTGAGGACATTACAGAAATTACAAATATTCAAATACTTTAGTGTCATTGTTTTCTCAATAAATGTTTTAATTAATCAAAACTAACAATGTGGGAATTTATTTTTATACAGTATTAGCTGAACTTTCACTACGCTTCTCTTAGTCCTAAAATATGGACTTAAACGCTGTGGGAATTCCAGTGCCTAGAATAGTGTCTAGAACAGGCACTCACATATTTTAGATAAATTAAAACATGGATACAAGATACTAGAAAGAGGGAAAAAAACTGATATGTTAAGAAAATTTGTTCCTTTCTCCTTTTTGTTGGTGAATCAATGAAAACTATAAATGATATCAGGTCAAAGAAAGATATCTTAATGTGATCTGGGGAGAGGTTTTTTATTTTTTAAGGGTTCTGAAAAGGCAAAGAGGTAATATTAAAAATGTCTTTTTTGTCAATTTATAATTATAGAGTATTCGGAAAGGACAAAAATATTTGAAGATGAAACCAATTACCAACTTAGCCCCAGAGACACATTACTAATATTTTATTATATTTTCTTCTAATGTTTTATTTTCCTGGCTATACATATATTGTTTTAATGAATTTAGCATCATTTTAATGCAGAGCTTTATATCTTAATTTTGTCTATTTTATCATGAATATTTTTCATTTCCTTTAAGAAGTCTTTGAACATAGAATTTTTAATGATTGCAAAATTACTCACTCAATCACTCTAGGATATGCTATACCTTATTTAAGCAATCTTCTATTACAGACACGTTTCTTCCAGTGTTCCACTTAACAGTGAAAATATTGCTAAAAAATATTTGCCTCATAGCCCGGCTTCTCCCTGTCTCCAGTGCTTCTTCCTTCACCTTTCCACAGATGCTGATCCTGGGAGCATGCCCTCACAAACCTCCCACACATGTATCTCTATCTCTGAGTCAGATTCCCAGTAACCCAAGCTGCAACAAGGGGGACTTAGCAGTGCCTAGCGAAATTACATATGAATTTCCCCCATGACTCAGAAATCCCATTTCCAGTGATAGCGCGAAATATAAGGATACGTGCACAAAGGTATTCATTGCAGCACATGTGTAACAGTAGAAGTACCAGAAAAATAACACATACTGGAAACTCAAGTGCCTGTCAATAAGGGACTTATTGAATAAACAATATCATATCCATACACCATGGTATAATAGAGTATACAGTGTATCTCTATACATTACTATCAGGCCATATCCAGGAAATAATGTTAAGTGAAAAAAAGTAAGGAGGAAAAAATGTATAGAGTATGTTATTGCCTTATCCAGTGAAGAGAAGACTACTAATATGTGTGTGTTTGTGGAGAATTAAACCACAAAAAATGCACAGAAGGAAGAAGGGAATTGTTTGAAGGAAACAGGGACAGAATATAGGTTTCTTAAGATCTTACTTTGGACCCAGATTACTATTTTACATAATTTTAAACAAAATTAAATTACACAAGCAATTCCAAAACTAAAAAATAAAATAACCAATGAATTGACATGTACATCTGTTTAGCGGTATAACCACAAAGAGCGGAAGTATTGGAAGTGACTTTAAAGATAGTATTTTGACTTTATATATGTATATAATAAAATATATCATTGGGACAAAAAGAACTGCAAGTAATCTTTGTTACAATAATCATCATATTGCTGGTAGTAGTGCTATTATTCATATTTTGCAACTGTTGTTTGTATATCTTGGGATAGAGCAAATGAGTCGTTACATTGGTGTCTTATAGAACCGGAATTTTTCATCATGAGAGATAGGAGATACAGAGGTAAGATTGTTGAAATCAAATTAAAACCCTGTAGCCCCAAATCTGATCCGAAGTATCAAAATATAAACCAAAAATATCTATTTCTTAGCTGTGCCTATTTAGAAGGCCTAGAAACAAAGATCAAACAATGCACAACTCTAACACCCGGACTGGAGTTTCTAAATGCAAATTAGGACTCCCAGAAATATGGGCTGTACGTTAAAAAAAGAAGGAAGAAAAAAATAGGGCTTTTTGGAGAAATGGCAGTTCTGGGCCTGAGCAGGAAATACATGAGATGAAATTGAAACCTCCTGTTATATTAAAAAACCAGGAAGCCCATTAAGGTTGGGTGGAAAAGATTCAGGAATCATCTTGAATTGGCTCCCAATGGCCAAACAGGACAATTTCAACATCAATAAGGATAATAAATGAAACACATTGTGTTTCCAATCATGATTTCATAATAATTCTAAGAAAAATTTAAACACATTGGTGACCTCTGGAAGATGCTAGGGAAACAACTCAATATTGGAAACTGGTTTTAAAATGAGAAAGAGAGAATTAAATATTTATTTTGCCTTTTCTATATAAATTATACCATAGAGTATGTAATTGGTGAAGGAAAGTGTGTTTTATAAAACTATTCCAAATAACAAATAAAAGGAATATTAAAATTTTAAAGCCATCATTTTATAAACACAAATTAATGGGTCTAGGGCTAAGCAACGGTTATTAAGGACTGCCAACCTCACAGTAAGAGAGAAAATCAGACCATTGTGCTCTACCCAGTAGAAGTGCATACTACCACCTATAAAATAGGTCAAAAATTCAAACATGAATCTGATCAAACCTCTAGATCAGGAGCTGAGAAAGTTTTCCTTAAAAGGTCCGACAAATATTTTAGACAAATATGGGCCATATGGTCTCTGCTGAAACTATTCAACAATGGCAGACACTGTAGCTTGAAAGCAGCCACAGTTTGTGAATGAATGGGCATGGCTGTGCTCCAACAAAACTTCATTCACAAAAACAGGGGCTGGCCTCAGTTTGTCAATCCTGACCTAAAATCGAGATCTAACTTTTAATTTGTATTATACAGAAAATACAAGCAAAAGATGAATATGTTAAATCAGTGGTCCCTAACCTTTTGGTACCAGGGACCTGTTTATAGAAGACAATTTTTCCATGGACCTGGCAGGGGTTTCAGGATAATTCAAGTGCATTACATTTATGGCACACTTTATTTCTATTATTAGTACATTGTAACATATAATGAACTAATTATACAACCCACCATAATGTAGAATCAGTGGGAGCCCTGAGCTTGCTTTCCTGCAACTAGATAGCCCCACCTGAAGGTGATGGGAGACAGTGACAGATCATCAGGCATTAGATTCTCATAAGGAGCACACTACCTAGACCCTTTGCATGAGCAGTTTGCAATAGGGTTCGTGCCCCTATGAGACTCTAATGCTGCCACTGATCTAACAGGAGGCGGAGCTTAGGTGGTAACGCAAGTGATGGGGAGTGGCTGTAAATACAGATGAAGCTTTATTTGCTCACCCGCTGCTCACATCCTGCTGTGTGTTCTGGTTCCTAACAGGCCATGGACTGGTACCCCCATATTAAATGATACCACAGGAAGGCAATCAATTTGCCTTTCCAGGTTTTCACCATTGCGCTTCACTGTGCCTGGAATCCTCCTCCCACAGATGCACACATGGCTCATTCCCTGACTTCCTTGAGGTCTACTTTCAAAGTCCAGACTGAAGTAAACTGTTCAACAAAGAGTAGCTGGTGTCTTCAACAACAGCAACAAAACTGCAAGAAATAGAAAGTTGGAAAGGAAACGCGTATCTTAAAAGAGATATAAAATTTGTATCAAGAAATCAAAATATTTGGGTTTTATTTAAATTTCAGTGTTAACACTTTTTTTTTTTTTTTTTTTGAGACAGAGTCTCAGTCTGTTGCCCAGGTTGGTGTGCAATGGCGTGGTCTCGGCTCACTGCAACCTCCACCTCCCGGGTTCATGTGATTCTCCTACCTCAGCCTCCCAAAAAGCTAGGACTGCTGGTGCGTACCACCACACCCGGCCAATTTTTTTATTTTTAGTAGAGTGTTGCCACGTTGGCCAGTCTGGTCTCAAACTCCTGACCTCAAGTGATCCACCTGCCTTGGCCTCCCAAAAAGGACTGGGATTACAGGCATGACCCACCATGCCTGGCCCAATGTTAACACATTTTGAAAAATAAGACAATCATGGAAATAAGTGATGACACTAAGGAATTATTCTTTTAGGTGTGATAATGATGACTTGCAGTTATGTTTTTAAAAGACTTCATACCTTTAGAGATATATATTTAAATACTTACAGATGAAAAGACATGATGTCTGCTGTTTGCTTCAAAATAATCTTGGGTGGGGAAGAGTGGGGCTACAGGTGAAATAGGACAGACCTGGAGTTGACTATTTTGGGGACTGGGGAATGGCTACATGGGGGTTCATTGTACTATTCTGTCTACTTTTGCATATGTTTAATATTTTCAGTAATTAAGAATTAAAATAACAAACACACAAAATATACCTTAGAATCGGTGGCAGGGATTAAAAATGTAGATATAGATGAAGAAAAACAGGTTGAGTTAGCTAGAGAGGAGAATCCCTTGGGGCAATTAAGAGGCATTATAGTGATGAGATTTCACCTGCTTGTCCCTTCGCATTAGAATAAAAAAGTTGAAGCGAATCAGATCCACTCCAATGTCTCTGAGTAAACCCATCCCCTCCCCAAATCTCTCAGAAGGGAAGGAATTCAAAGAGGTCCAGAGCTTGGGGCTGAGGGTTCAGGGCACTGCCAGCTGCTCACTAGTATCTGTATGCCCCTTCTTCTTTGTACAGCATCTTGATTTCTTCAGAGACGCCAGTGCCCATTTAAAAATAGCCAGCCCTTCAGATCTCCTGGTAGTTAGGTCTGGAAGTCAGGCCTCCCACTGATTCTACATTATGGTGGGTTGTATAATTATTTCATTATATATTAAAATGTACTAATGATAGAAATAAAGTGCATAATAAATGTAATGCACTTGAATTATCTTGAAACTCCTGCCAGGTCCATGGAAAAATTGTCTTCTACAAAACAGGTCCTGGTACCAAAAGGCTAGGGACTACTGATTTAACTAGGCTGGCCGTTAAAATATAAATAGAAGTCTAGGGCTTCCAGGAAATACATGGTTTTATAAACTAAAAGTAGGTGTATCCATTCCAATTTATTATTGCATGGGTGTAATTATGGTGCCTGGAGTAGTAGTGGCAAACTTGTAGCCATAAGGATAAAATAACACACCATGACAGGGTCAGGCAGTGACAGGGAGACAGAGACTGACCATGGGACATCATAGAGTCACTGCCCCAGAGCTGGACTACCTACCTGTACTTCATGTTTCATAGAAAAAATAAACTGCTACATGGTTAATCTGCTATACTAAGGCTTCTGCTACATGTGGCCAAACATAAGTAAGTAGTCACTAATATCTGAAACCTAAAACATCCAAAATGAGACTCCTGATCTCCTCTAATCCATCTTCTCATTGTCCTTTCACAGATCACTAAACAGCAGCACCTGTGTTTAATTTTTGGTCTTTTTCAGACCAAAAATCTCAACTCCTCTTTTTCCTTACTCACTCCATCAGCCAAGCCTGTTGGGTTCTCCCTTTGAGGTGTGTCCAGAATGGAACCTGTTCTCAGTAGCTCCACAGCTTCTATCAGTCTTGTCTGGGCCACCACCATCTCTCCTGTGGTCTACTTCAGTGGCCTCCCGATTGGTCTGCTGCTTCAATCTTTGCCTCCCACAGTCTGTTCTCCACCATCAATCAGAGGGTTCCTTTTGAAATTTAAGTCACATCATAGCAATCTTCTGTAGAGAATACAAAATGTCTTCCCATCTCACTGCAAATAAGGTCTAAAGTTCTACTCCTGGCCTGTCAGTTCTTACATGACCTGAGCTATCATTCACTGAGTTCCCATCATTCTGGCTTCCCTGATTGCCAGGTGTGTCCCTGGCCAATGGATGAAATGAGTACTCAGACACAAGTATGCAGTGTAAGAACAGCTAGGTGACTGCCTGGCTGTAGTGGCCAGAGAGCAGCCCCGAGAAGCTGAAGCTGCTTGCTTTTATTTACTGCAGGCATAATGCCGAAAGCCTGGAGCCTACACAATCTGTAAATGACTAACATTTATTGTTCCTCATTCAGAGAACATCATGTGTGCGGATGTTCAAATGTCAGCTCCTGGACAACTTCAAACAAACAGGCTTGATCAAGACAAATTCTCCTACACTCCCTTGTACCTACTCCTTGCCCTCTGCCTCAGGGTCACAGAACAGCTGCCTTCAGCTATTCTCCCCTGGAGCTTTGCAGAGCCTTCCGACCTTATAGAAGGGCCACTCCCTTTCCCTTGGAACATACTAAGCAGGCTTCCCTTCCAGGTTTTCTCACCCTCACTCCTCACTCTGCCTGGAATCTTCCTCTCACAGATGCCCACATGGCTCATTCCCTCACTTCCTTGAGGTCTCCTTTCAAGTGCTACCTACCAGACCAGCCTTCCAAGCCGGCCATGAGCTTGTTTGCACTCATCTCTATTCCCCTTTCATCTTGGTCATCCTCCGTGTTGCAGAAAACTGCATTTCTTTGGTTCTCCTGTTCCCTGGATCCTGGTGGGTTCAGCCCATGGGAGAGAGAGGTAGAAGACTGAAATCAGGAAGGAAGAAGGAAGGAGTTTAAGTGTTTGCTTCTCTCTTCAGGCTGTATTTCTGGTAACCACAGTGTCTTCTCTGAGACTCCAGCTTCTAGCAGACAGACCTTTCATCTGTGGTTCCAGCTCCTGCTGGGAAGGCATAGCATGGCTCCAGCTTCTACCAGGTGGCCGCAGCACCTGGACTTCAGTAATACCACCATCTCCCTCTGCTGGTTCTGCTGTTGCTGATCTCTGGGTTACTTGCTGTCCCCTGTGTGTATTTTCAGCTCCTCTATCATGGGTATAGTCAATTCCCCATACTAAATCCCTTCTGCTAGCAACGCCAACAAATCCTGACCAATCCAACTTGGTCTGACTGATAGGACTTCCCTGAACGTCTTAAATAAAATAGCCTCCATCAGCCTTCCTGTTGTCATGCTATCCACTTATATTATCATCTTTCATGGATCTTAGCAATACCTGATAGAGCACATATATATTAGTTTCCTTAATACCTATCTCTCCCCTGGAATACAAACCTCATGATGGCATGACTTGCCTGCCTCGATCTCTGCTAGACCCCCATTGTCCAGAATGCAGCATGATCAACAATCGGTGCTCACGCAAACAAACAAATATTCTTTCATGCATTTAAGAGGTACTGATGAGCACTCTCTAGGTTCTATTTACTAGACATGGAGATAAAGTGGTAAGACAAGCTTTTCTATTCAGCTTTGGCCACAGGAGGGAGTGGCAGTGAGGGCCCAGCCTCTCTTGTGTCTTGGTGCATTTTAATCATCCTGCTTTTGATTTGTGGTGGTTCCAAACTGAGTGGAAAATCACCTGTATTGCAATGGAAGCTTGTTGAAGAGGGGAACCAACTCTATTGTTTATCCTGAGTCAGACTCCCTAAGAGGGGAACAAACACTCACCTGACATGGAGTGGGATCTTGGGCACCTTCTTAGAGACCTTGAACCGGTCTCTGTCCCCATAGGTGTCAGTGAAGTACACTCCGGCTACACTTGTCACCTTGTTCCCAGGGAACCTGGAGAGCACCTTGTCAGGGCCGTGCTGGCTGGCCCAGTACCAGGCCTGGCCCCCGATTAACAAGCCCCCTCCATGTTTCACAAACTGGATCAGCGTTGCAGTCAAGGTGTCATTGTAGGCATTGATACAGTAAACCCCTAGGGGCTCTCCTGGTTCTGGCTTGACCTGTGCCTCAAGCCCAGCATCCTGTAGGATGTTTACTAGAGGTGCCAGGGATGGATGCACTCCCACGGGAGCCCCAGGACAGGGACAGAGCCAGCTCACTGCATTGAGGAGAAATGGAGCCAAGCCAGCATGCGACAGGTAGCCCTCATGGGACACAACCACGAGGCGGCCTCGGCCGTAGGAGGAGGCAGCAATGAGCACCTGGCCCTTGTCATTCACCATCACGGGGAAGGCGGCTTCTCCAATAAGAAGGAGTTCACTGGGGATGGGGCCTCTGGGGACATCCCAGCATGTCACTCCATCCATGAGGGCCTCAAACGCAGCAGCAGCAATGGTCGCCATGGTTCTATCAGCTGCTGCAGGGGGAAGCAAAGACTTTCATGTATTTAAGAGATACTGATAAGCACTGCTGGTCAGAACAGATGAAGGAACAGGTGAAAAAAGCAAACAACTAAATGCATTCACCTCCAAATTTTACTGGATTCCCCATTGTGGGCCAAGCACTGTTCTAGCACTGGGAGTACAGCAAGAAACAAAACAGATAAGGTTTCCCTTTTCGTGATTTGAATATTTTAGAAGGAGAAAGATAATGAATAAATAGGTAGATAAACAGATAAATAAAATGCAACAATCACTATGATGAAAATAAAACACAATGATGTGACATGGAGGAACTGGAAGACTACTTTAGATTGGGTGATAGGAAAGGACTCTGACAAAGTGGCATTGAAGCTGAAACCTGAAATGCAGTGAGCAAAGGGCATTCCAGCAACGAGACCACTTTGGGGTGGCTGAGAGCCAGGAGCAGGGAGGAGCAGGACCCCAGGAGGAGGGAGGGACGGGCTAGATCCTGCAGGGCCAGTAAATCAAGGTGATAGTTAAGTTCGTGTGCCTGAGTGGACACAGTGCTTGATTTTTTTGAACAGAAAGGTCATAGACCTGTCAAAACATGCCTTTCTTCTGACAGCTTTGCTAAGTTGGAAAGTGCCCCCTAATTTATCAAATCTGCCCTAATGGAGAGGACCCTCCTCTATTTGGTAGCATTATGCAGTTTCCGGAGGTCTTTTAAAATTGGCTGTGCCTAACACTGAGACTATTTGTCCCTTTAAGCAGCCCCTCTTGGATAAATGACTTCAGTCTCAGTTTCCCCATCTACAAAAAGAGAATAATACAGCCATGGGAAGATTGTTTTTGAAGATTAAAGGAATATGGATAGGCCAGGCGCAGTGGCTTATGTCTGTAATCCCAGCACTTTAGGAGGCCGAGGCCGGTGGATCACCTGAGCTCAGGAGTTTGAGACCAGCCTGGCCAACATGGCGAAACCTGTCTCTACTAAATCTACAAAAAATAGCTGGGCATGGTGGCGTGCACCTGTAATCCCAGCCACTTGGGGAGGCTGAGTCATGAGAATTTCTTGAACCCTGACGGTGGGGGGCGGAGGTTGCAGTGAGCCGATATCGCACCAGTGGACTCTAGCCTGTGCGAGAGAACAAGACTCTGCCTCAAAAAATAAAATAAAATAAAATAAAATAAAATAAAATAAAATAAAATAAAATAAAATAAAGTAAAGTAAAATAAAATAAAGCAAAGAATATGTCTAAAAATGCCTTGTCTGGGGTTGGTACACATACAGTGAGCACGGAATAAACGAGAGTGTCTGTCCCTTTGCTGTCCTTTTAAGTTTCCCGGGTTGCCGAGGGCAGCGTTGCAGATTGCAGTAGTGCAGTAGTCCCCTGGCTGCCTGTGCCGCCTCCCTTTGCGCGTCTCTGACGAGCCCACTGTAAGGGACTTTCCTCTGTGCTCTGATGGCTTCTCACCTCTGCAGGTGCACAAGGCAGCCCTGAAGTAGCGGTGAGTTGACACTAGGGTGAGCTTCGCCCAGTAGAGCGGGGATTCACAGAAGAGTGCCCCGTGGCTTTCCCGAGGTGCCCATCAGAGGTCCTCGGAAGGCACCCGGAGGAAAGGAGCGCCATGTGGAAGACCCTCAGCCACATGCTCCTCCTGGCTTTCCCTTTTTTCCTTGTCTCATTCTCTCCACTTCCTCATTTGGGCTTTTTGGTCTCACTTACCCCCAAAAAATTACCTGCAGGTAAGCCCTTGCATAAGGCTTTGCTTTAGGGCAGAATCTAAACTAAAACACACACCAAGCCCTTGAGCCACAAGTGCCTCCTTCCTCTCTCCCTCCTGCTTCTATATGCAGTCAACCACCTCATTTGGTTAATCTCTCACCATCTCTCTCAAACATCAGTCCCTTTAGTTGGCAATCATTCCAGACTAAACCAATATGGTTTTAGTCCCCAGGATGTATTCTCATCCACAATCGTCCTCTACAAGAACTCTAACAAGAACCGTTACATTTCGTCCACTCTCTCTAAGGTGAAACTTGCAGAGCGCCTCAGCCTGGCTTCTCCAGGGTCTGGCATGCCAGTGATTACTGGACGTTTTTCCTGCTACTTTCTTCCACTAAATCTCTCCAAGCTCGGAAAGGTTGGCATTCTGAGCATGCCCTGCATTTCCTGTAGAATTCCATCTCTTCCCCTCTTCCCTTCCTATCCGCCACCTTTTTCTTAATACTGCTCGCGGGAAAGAAATTCACAAAAGAGAGCCAATACTCGGCAGAGCATTGAGAATGCGGATACCTGATCTCAGCCTCAGAAGTTACCAGTGGAAAAAAGCAGCCGAGAGAGATCCGGAAGCCTGAGCTCAAGATCGTGCTAGCTACCTCCCAGAAGACAAGCGACGTCTTTCACTTCTGGGGCAGTACCAGTTTGACAGGATAAACAAAAACAGACAAAAAACCTCAGATGAGTAATATGTCCCGGAAAGCTGACCCAGCATTCCGCAACGAAATGTGCCCTCGTGCACGCACACACCATGCACATCTTTGTCAAATTCGTAATTTACAAGTTCAAATAGGAGGGAGAAACGTGTTTTGAGACAAACTGCAAATAGCACCAGACTAACAAAACGAAATGAAACCAAAGACCTAGACCTAAGAAGGGAGGGACACCCCCTGACGCCGGGTATGGTCTGGGGCCTCCAGCACTTTGCGGCGACCCCCAGTGCCCTAGGTGCTCAGCTACCGCCCCCACCCCAGGACCCGCTGGGATTGGAAAACTCACCCCTGAGCAGTGCGGATACCTAGGGACTGACGGACAGGCTCTGCAGTGGCGCCCGGGGACGTGTCGGAGGCGAGGCGGGGCGGGGCGGTCCCGGAGGCGGGGCGGTCTCGGAGGTAGGGGCCGTCCTGGAGGCGGGGCCGTCTCGGAGGCGGGACTGTCCTGGGGACTGAGCTGTCTCGGAGGTGGAGTCCTGCGGTCCCGGAGGCGGGTTGTACCGTAGGCGGGGCTCTCTCGTAGGCTGGCCGGTCCTGGAGGAGAGGCTGTTCTGGCGGCGGGGCTGTCTTGGAGGCTAGGAGGTCTCGGAAACTGGGCTGTCCCGGAGGCGGGGCACAGGCTGGGGTGAGGCGGAGCCGACCCTGAGGCGGGCCCGGGGCGCGGCTACCGCTCCCTGAGCCACGCCCGTGGTCTCCCGTTCCATCGGTGGACCCCACCTCGGGCCGTGCTGCGGGCTCTCGGGGCGCCTACCAGGTGAGCGACCCCGCCTTCCCGGAGGGATGCTTTGGCCTGCATGGGGCCCCAAACCGGCTCCCTCAGGGTCTCTGCGGGTTCTTGGATGCGAGAGGGGACCCAGCCAGTTTGCTGTCGCACTTGATAAGAAAAGCAAACCCTAAGTCTCCAATAAACCATATTTGGGGCGAATAGTTCCCTAACAACAACGTATGCCACGGGGGAGGCCCCGCGTGGAATCAGGCTCCCTTCCCTCCGATCTTGGGGTGGGCTCAGCAGAGCCGGTAGCCGCCGCGTCGCCTCCGTCGCTCGAGCCTCTGCGTGGAGGGCTGCCCCCTAGTGGTCAGCGGCGGGCCATGCACTTCGAGCCCGGTGGATGCTTATGGCCATGGTGCGGGGTGCTCAACTAGGGCATTTTTCTCTCAAAGTATCCACAGAAATGCTGCCCAGCAAGTTATATTCTTGCTGGGAGGGAAACGTGCCTGTGGCATCACTAACACAGATTCGTCCGTGCATGGCTGGAGAAATTAAGCTAAAGCTATAGAGTGGCTGGTGCTCGAATTTCTACGCAAGAGAGGTCAGAAGGTGAAAATCAAGGTGGAAGGGTGTGGTCAGGAGGAGGATTTGGTGTAGTCTGGAGTTTAGGAACGTCTTACCTAGGAAAGTGATGACTGTGCTAGAATGAGGGGAAAAAAGTAGTCTGTCTGCATTTTGCCCACCATTGAGTCCTCATTGCCTATTTTCATTTCTGACATAGAATAGGCTTTAGTTTCTTAATAAATAACTAAATATATGCTAAATAAATAAGGATATAGTGAACGTCCAAAAATATCTGTCGAATTAGTGAGTTAATAACTGACTCTTCGGAGGACTAGTGGAAATCTGATTGGCAGAGGACCAAATACATTCAGGTTTCAGAAATAAAGAGCAAGGAGAAACTTACACAGAAAAGAAATTGTGGATAAGACTTGCCAGAATTTGGAATAATTCCGGCTAGAAATCCAACGTGCGGTGAAGTACGTTGAGTTCTTAGGCTTCATATCAGGGAACAACTGACCTTTGGGAGCTGAAGTGGGAGATGGACATCAAAGAAAGTGGGTCAGTAAAGTTCCACGTTAAAAGCTGATTCAGGCCCGGGTGCGGGGGCTCACTCCTGTAATCCCAGCACTTTGGGAGGCCGAGGTGGGTGGATCACCTGAGGTCAGGAGTTCAAGACCAGCCTGGCCAACATGGAGAAACCCCGTCTCTCCTAAAAATACAAAAATTAGCCGGGCGTGGTGGCACAGGCCTGTAATCCCAGCTACTCGGGAGGCTGAGGCAGGAGAATTGCTTGAACCCGGGAGGCGGATGTTGCAGTGAGCAGAGATCATGCCACTGCCCTCCAGCCTGGGCGACAGAGCGAGACTCCGTCTCAACAACAACAACAAAAAGCTGGCTCGGTATCTTTTGTGTGTTTGTACTCTTAGGTTTTAACCAGTCTCCACCTACATCAACCTCACTCCTCATGGTAAAGTACTACTATTGTTCTAAATTAACTCCTGAGAGTATTTTGGTGTTGCTCTAATAGAAGAAAGGGGCTTTAAACAAAGGTGATTTTTCCAGGGTCAGAGAGCAGAAAGTACCTGCCATTTGGGAGCAGGAGCTGCCTGAGGAATGGAACCTAACAACATAGGAACGGCATAACGGTTCCTAAAAAAAAAAAAAAAAAAAAAAAGAAGAAAAAAAAGATTAAAGATGGTAACCAGCATTTACGTTCTGACTAAAGGGTGTCCGAGAGAGAATACAGTCATGGGTTCTTAGTTTCTGTTTTTGGTTAGGCGAGTAAAACCCCTTCCTCATCCCTCTTTTCCCCTTTCACTAGAGACAGAAACTAAAAACCGTGAGTTCAGGCAGCTAGAAACCTAAAATAAAAGAAAACGGAACAACAACAACAACAACGAAAATAAGGTGGGTTGGATAAGCTTCGAAATGGTTACTGCTTATGCAAAGGTGCAGGCCCCAGATCTTTCCTTTTACTTGGGAGAAAACAGACGCCATTCAGTGAAAGTCAACATATCCTTACTGGACACTTATTCTGTGAGGCACTCTGGGAGATAGAAATGCTATTATGGTCAGTAAATCTAGAGAGGAAAAAAGACAAGAAAACAACTATACCAAAATTGGCTACGAATCAGGTGCAAGGGCACATAAAAGAAGCAGCAATTATTTCTGATCAAAGGATTAGAGAAGAATGTGCACAGAAGGTGACACAGAAACTCAGCTTAGAAAAATGTATATTTGCGGGGAGATAAAGGGGAAGGTATTACAATGTGAGGCTGTATAAGATTCCAAAGCACAGAGATATGAATGTGAAAGGCTTAATTTGAGAAAGACAAAATGTTCATAGTGACTGAAACTTGTTAGCAGAACTTGCATAGTGCTAGCTCTAAAGAGAAGTTTGGGCTCGGTTTAGAGGGACTTTGGCTGCCATACTAGGGAGTTTGGATTCCATTCTACAGTGTGGAGGAAGATTTTTTAAAAGCACCATTTAGTAAACACTGTGGTTGCCTCCTCAACATCTATTCCCTACACTACCCCTATTGTCCTTTCTAACCAAATCCATTTTTTTTTTAAATCAGATAATCCACCTCTCCTTTATGAGATTCAGGGGACAATGAATTCATCTCCATTTCCAAGGATAGATCTGTATTAGCTTAAATCAGGCAGGCTAACTCATACTTCTTGTGCTTCCATGACAGACTCTTTCTGGGTTATACGTAATAAATATACATAAACAATATTATACTTCATTGTCCAGCATATACAAGAGGCAAACACAAATCAGAAATATTATCTTTACCAGTGGTACATGAGTCCATTTTTTGTCAAATAGAGAGCAATTGCTGCAGTAATTGCAGTTTATCACTAAGCCAGATGCAGGGGTTACTCATACATATGCCTTCTAATTGTGGGCTACTATTAATAGTCACTGGCCTCCTTCTTAAATTATTTTCAGTCATGAGCTTAACTTAATGTGGTACCATATATTCTTTCTTTTAAGGACCTTAAGAATCTGGGAAGAATTAGCCACACTCTAATTTAGGAACAGAGATGGATGAATCCACCTATGGACATTTACTGGTATGAGTCACTGGGGAAGTTCACTAAGTCACTATTTAAGATGATCCAGAACAGGTGTCTACAGCTGCCTTAAGAATGAGTACTATGGTGGTGATGAAAATGTTCCTCTCAGATGTCCAACTGCAGGGGGTGGGTATGAAATTGCCAGATGGCCCCAGCTGGTGTGCTCTGGAATCCTTGGCGCCAAGGCCATGCTGCCAGGGGCTTCTCCAGGCTGGTGATCAAATGTAGTGAGGATCCTCAGGCAGGCCCATTCCTGGAAGACATGGGACTCTCCCGATAGGTGAGTTTGGCTCAAGGACTCCTCATGGTCCTGAAAGAAACTCTCTGAGACCTGTACTTCAGTGGAAGCCTGTCTTTCCTTTGCTGTCTCCTTCCCAAGGGTTAAACCTACATTGCAGTCTAATGGTGGCTCTCCCGGCCTTCTCTGGCTCCCTCGACATTTTCTCTCACAGGCATTTCCTTTAATAAATCTCTCGCATATCTGATCCTGTCTTGGCTTTTGCTTCTTGGAGGACCCAGAATAACACAAGTACTGTCATAATTATATCTCCTCACTTTAAATCTCTCAAGTGTAATTACTAAAATTGTGTTGTAGTGGAAGTAAAAAGCAAGGTTACTAACTTGAGAGTATCTATGAAACACTCACCCATTAAGTTTCATTCTTTAGTACATTTATAATAACTTTTATTCCAATTGTAGCATGGCCTATCTCCAAGGGCAAGTTCCTGCCTGCGTCTTCATTGAAAACAGTGGAACTTTGAAGCAATGGGGGAGTTTGTTGCTTCTCTTGACAAGCGGCCAGCCCTAATTCAGAGTTATAAAAGTTTTCATATTCTGCTTTTGGCATATCTGTAAAATATACTTGGGCATACATTTTTTTTTTCTGTTTGGATCATAAGTGTGTGAAACATACGTGGTAAGAGCCAGTTATATTCCAATCACAGAGGATGTCTTGGAACACATCACTGCCACTCCAGAGGTACTGAAACTTTCTTCCTCTAGTAAGGAACATGGCTGGGGTGGGGGTGAGAAGAGATATTCTTACATTTATAAACTGTTTCTCCCACCACCAGACCAGACATAAAGTTTGATTTTGTCCTGAAGATTTCAGTTGTCTTGGAGCCAGTGGAACTGAGTTAGCCCAAGAATGAGAGTGGATGTCCTTTTTCTCTTTCTGCCTTTGAAATATCAGGTTCATTGGACAGGTGCTCAGTAGATCCAATTTTCTTTAATTGCACCTACATCAGTGTAATATAAATGTCTTCATTCACAATCCCACAAGGGTTGTAGATATCAATATGCCGGGGGATAGTGTATGGGAATTGAGGGTCATAGTAGGTCAATACTATATAAGAAAATTCCTACAGAGAGTGAGTCTAAATCCCTACTCCTATGGGACCAGCGACTATTATTGTCTATTTATTTACTTATTTGAAAATGTAAACAATTATTTCCCAGTGGACTAATTACAAAGTTCCTGTGACATCAAGATCATTCCTTCTCAAGGCTTTTCACTATATATTGAGACGTGTAGTCTTAATTTCATTTTGGTTTGCCCCAAGACTTCCACCAAGTCTAGGGGATCTGTACGGAACTATCCTTTCCCAAGGTACATCATGCATACTTTCTGCTATTATTTTTTTTTCAGTCTGTCCCTTGTGGTCAATCAAGAGAAATGCAGACTTCAATCTCTATAAGAAGAGCAAAGGTTCTCCCTTTTTAAACCTTTGAACTGAGAAAAAAAAAAAAAAAGCAGCAGCTCCTGCCATCCAGAAACTTGTCTGGCGCTAACAGCGAGGCCATATTGTTCTCCCATTGTACAAAAACAATTTCAGAAAACATCAACATCAGATAAGGTCACTCAGAGACCGTCATAAAGTAAGGCACATACACGATCACCATGCAACCCACAAAATACTGATCATCCTTCTGTTATCTAAAATGAGTAATTGCACGTTTTAGAAACCAATCGCAGCTTTATTCTCATTTTATTTATGTTTGTTTTTGAGACAGAGTTTCACTCTTGTTGCCCAGGCTGGAGTGCAATGGTGCAATCTCAGCTCACCACAACCTCAGCCTCCTGGGTTCAAGCGATTCTCCTGCCTCAGCCTCCTGAGTAGCTGGGACTACAGGCATGCGCCACCATGCCCGGCTCATTTTGTATTTTTAGTAGAGACGGGGTTTCTCCATGTTGGTCAGGCTGGTCTCAAACTCCTGACCTCAGGTGATCTGCCCACCTTGGCCTCCCAAAGTGCTGGCATTACAGGCGTGAGCCACCGCGCCCAGCCTTTATGCTTATTTTAGTCAGCTCTCCTTGTATATGTATTGAGATCGTAGTTGTAGAATTGTTTCTGGTTCTTGACAGTATGTCATCCAAAACAAAGTCTCCCTTCTTCAGACACTTCCCAAAACTATCCAACCAAAGCCCACAGCCTATAATAGGTTCTTTCTGACACCTTTTTACTGATATACCCACAGTTCTCTATGGTGTGCATTTTCCCTAGCTGCAATGAACAACAGATTCAACTTGTTTAATTATAGGTGTGTTTCCATTGGTCTTTGGCTGTAGGGCATTAATAATATTATGTACTATTAGTGCGTTAATAACATTAATAATGCCCTATAGCCAAAAGTACTTTTACCAGTGCTAGAGATCCACCAGGCTTTCTGCTAAAGGTCACTCTAACATTACGGACACAAGTCAGTTGTTTGTCTTTTAATGCTTTTGCCAGCTGAAATAGTTTATCTCAGAGTTTTCTATGAGGATCTGAGATTTAACTCTGCTCTAGGTGTTGAGAGCAACAAGCTCATAGTGCCAGTTGTCTTGTGGTTAAATGTCAAAAGCCTTAATTAAGGCTTATTATTTTCTCCTTTGGAATAGGTCGGCTCCAAGGCTACACAAGCAGCAAGAAGAAAAGGAAAAACTCTGTTTTATTAAAGCTCCACTTGCCTATCTACCTTGGTGGAGGGTCAAGAAAAGGTTTATAACCTATTTGCAGGTTTTAGGCTCCTGTTTGCAGCACAGAAACCACAGACAATAGGTAAGCCTGCTGGGCCCTGGCCTACGGGGTCTGTTCAGGAAGAAGAGGGGTCTTCTCTCTAAACCTGTGAGATCTCTTCTAGACTCTTTTATAGATTGTTTTTATATTGTATGTTTGATCATTTTGTCCTCCCCTAACCCCCTTTGGGCACTATCTCAGACTTTAAATATTCTAAATAATTTTGGCAGTATGTGAAAAATGAATTTTATGTCACTAAGCGATTCATGGAAATATTTTTTTAGTACCTACATGTACAGATTTCTTAACCAATTATGTATATTTGAGTTCCTAAGAATAGAAGTAACTTTTTAATGACCTTCAGGTACACATATTTGTATTAAAATAAACCTTGGTTCCTAACTGTCATCATTGGTCACTACATTTTTTTTTTAAGTTGCAGTTGCTTCCCAACCTCTATTTATCTTTCATTTATTTACTCATCCCTTTATTCTATTTATTTCTAATATAATGAGCACCTATGAAACGCACCCAGTCTCAGACTAGAACATCAATAACTTAAGCTACTCAAGCTTTCCTATCAAAGAAATGCTTCTTTATAGCACTGAAATGCACAAGAATCCAAATGCATAGGAAGCATTTCTTAGTTGTCTTGATTGTGAGGTAAGTTGTTTTTTTGTGTAGTTAGAAGAAAGATCTCTGAGAAGTTGAAGATCACCTTCTGCCCACTCCCTATTGAAGACTGACTGCAATGATGTGGGTCAAAGAAAGAAATCATTTTAAGAGTAGAAGCCAAGCAGGAGTACAAAGGCTTTGTAAGGAGTAGAGAACAGAGGAGGGAAATAGTCTTGAAAGAAGGGATAGAGTCTGCTACTTTTGTTGGCAAAAAAGAGTCAACATCTAAGGCCTAGTTACCTGTTGGCCTGTTAGGTACATATATTAGGTGAGGTTTTGACCTTGGGTGAGGACATTGCTTTAAGCACTAAATAGATCAGATTAATCCCGTGAAGAGGAGATAGGAAGTGTTTCTGATAAATACTGCTTTGAAGATTGGCTGCAAGGCCAATACTCATCAGAGAGCTCCAGTTGACTATGGGAGTTAGACAACAGAGGAAAGTAAACTCATGACATATCTCAATTTCTCTTTACAGAAATTCAGACTCAGTGGTGTGGCAGAAGATAAAATAATTTGGGTTATTTCTGTGATAACATGGGCAATCTGGAAACTACTCCCATTTGTGAGGGTAAATCTCTATTATGATACATGGAAAATAGGACAGATGCTAATTCAGGTAAGAAAAGGTCTTTGTATTATACAAATATTTACCTTCAGACAGAAATGTTAATGAAGATGGAGAAGGAACAGTTACCAAGAAACTAGGGATAGTAGGACACAAAAAACCTGGTAACCTGGTAGTGAGTATGAACCAGTCTGGTGCCTTGCCTCCAGAGGAGCAGCAACTGAGCAGAGCTACTGGACAACCAGCCCTGCACTTCCCTAGAGCACAGACCAGCTCACTATGCAGCCACCAAGAGATAAGCACCGAAGGAGAACCTACCAGCCATGGATCCTCAGAAAACAGACCAGCTAAGTGCCCAGCCTTCAGGGGACAAGCAGCTGAGTGGGCATACCAGCCACACAAACTTCTGCAGCCAAGGCCACTGAGGTACTTGCAGGCACCACTGACATTAACTACAGCTAAAGAAGCTGCATGGAGACTACACTACTGCATCCACCCAGAACAAAAACAAATGTACCTTACCCAACCAACATGCTAGGACACATCTGCAGGTGTAAGTCTTTTCCGCTGAAAGTTATGCTACCAAGTTAGAAAAGGTGATTATTCCATCAGATGCACAGATGCCAGTGCAGGGATACAAGAAACATAAAAAAGCAAGGGAACATGACACCACCAAAGAAACACAATAATTCTCTAGTAACTGACCCCAATAAAAAAATAAAAATTTATGAATTGCCTGAAAAGGAATTCAAGATAGTGAGCCTAAGGAAACTTGGTGAGACATGAAAGAACACAAACGGATCATTCAACAATCGGGAAAAACAGTTCATGATCTGAATGAGAAATTCAACAAAGAGAGAGATATCATAAAAAAGAACAAAATAGAAATCTTGGGGCCAAGAAATTCAATGAATGAAATAAAAAAACGCAATTGAGAGCTTCAACAGCAAAATAGATCAAACAGAAGAATTTTTGAACTTGAAAACAGGCCTTTTGAAATAGTCCAGTCAGAGGTAAAGAAAAAAAAAAGGAATGAAGAAGCCTATGGCATTTATGGGACACCATAAGTGAACAAATGTTTGCATTTTGGCAACTTAAGAAGAAGAGATGAAGAAAGGCAAAGAAAGCTTATTTAACAAAGTAATAGTTGAAAACTTCCCAAGTCTTGGGGAGATATGGACATCCAGATCCATGAAGTTCAAAGGATCCCACAAAGATTCAACTCAAAGAGGTCCTCTCTGAGGCATATAACCAAACTGTCAAAAGTCAAAGACAAAGAAAAAAATACTAAAAGCAGCATGAGAAAAACATCAAGTCACATATAAGGGAATTGCCATTGGACTATTAGCAGATTTCCCAGCAGCAACCTTGCAGGCCAGGAGAGAATGGGATGATATATTTAAAATACTAGAAGAAAAAAAGCTGCTAGCCTAGAATACTATACCAGCAAATCTTTGCTTCAGAAATGAAGGAGAAATAGTCTTTCCCAGATCAGCAAAAGTTGAGGGAACTCATTACCACTGGACCAGACTTACAAGAAATGCTTGAGTATTTCTATTGGAAAAAAAAGTTTTCATGATAATTGCTACCATAAAAAAACATGAAGTATAAATCTCACTGCTGGAGATAAATGCATTATCAAATTCATAATGCTTCATTACTGCAATGGTGATATGTAATGTTTCAAACCTCTAGTATGAAGGTTAAAGGCCAAAACAGCTGGGTGCTGTGGCATGTGCTTGTAGTCCCAGTTATTTAGGAGGCTGAAATGGAAGGCTCATTTGAGCCCAGGGGTTTGAGTCCAACCTGGGCAACATAATGAGACCCCATTTAAAAAATAATAATAATTAAAAAAATGCAGCTCTGTGGGATGCCAAAAAGTGAAAATTGTAATAATGATTATAGCAATGATAAGTTGTTAAGGAATAAACAATATATAAAGATGTATATTAAAGCAACAAAATTATAAATTTGGGTGCAGAATGAAAGTCTAGAGTATTGGTATGCAATGAAAGTTAACTTGTTATCAGCTTAAAATAGTCTATTATAAGTATGAGAGATTTTTAATGTAACCCCAATACTAATCACAAAGAAAAAATTACAACAGATATACAAATGAGAAAGAGAAAGGAATCAAAGCTTAACACAACAAATACCCTAATCAAGCCACAGAGATAAACATGAGAGAGGAAGAAAGGAACAAAGGATAAACAAAACAACCAGAAAATAATGAACAAAATGGCAGAAGTCCTTACCTATCAATAATAACTTTGAATGTAAATGAAATAAATTCCCAATTAAAACATACGCCGTGGCTGAATGGATTAAATTAAAAAAAAAAAAAAACAAGATTCAGCAACATGCTGCCTACCAGATAGGCACTTCACCTATAAGGCCACACATAGACTGAAGTGAAAGAAGAGAAAATGAAATTCTGTGAAAATGGAAACCAAAACAAAGCAGGGGTAGTAATACTTACATCAGACAAAATAGGCTTTAAGTAAAAAACTGTCAAAAGAGAAAAGAAGGTCATTATATAAAGAAAGATAAGGAAATCAGTTCAGCAGAAGGTTAGGACAGTTGTCAGTATATGAGCACACAACACCAGAACACCCAATATATAAAGTAAATATATAAAGCAAATATTATGAGATCTAAAGGGAGAGAAAAATTAAAATAAAATAAAAAAGGACTTTAGCACCCTCTTTCAGCAATGGATGGATCATCTAGATAGAAAATCAACAAAGAATTATCAGATTTAAATTACATTCTAGACCAAATAGCCCCAGCAGATATTTATAAAACATTCCCCTCAATAACTACTGAATGTACATTTTGCTCAACAGCACATGGAACTTTTCTCCACGATAGAATATATGTTAGTCCACAAAACATATCTCAAGCAATCAAAAAAATCAAAATCTTATCAAGTATCTTCTCTTACCACAATGCAATAAAAACTAGAAATGAATACCAAGAGGAACTATGGAACATATACGAATATGTGAAAACTAAAAACAAGTTTTTACAAAACCAGGGCATCAATAAAGAAATTAAAAAGAAAATTTAAAAATTCCTTGAGACAAATAAAAGGAAACATAATGTACCAAGACCTATGGGATACAGCAAAAGCTATTCTAAGAGGGAGTTTATAGCAATAGATGCCTACATCAAAAAAGTATAAGAATCTTTTATAAAAACTTTATGTGGCACCTCAAGGAATGAGAAAAACGAGGGCCAGCTGAACCCTAAACTACTAGAAGAGAAGACTGATAAAGATCAAGCAGAAATAAGTGAAATAGAGCCTGAAAATAATATAAAAATCAGTAGAACAAAAAGTTGGTCCTTTGAAAGATAAACAAATGTTTTAGCTAGACTAACAAAAAAGAGAAGACTCAAATAAATATAATCAGAGCTAAAAAAGGAGATGTCACAGAAATACAAAGGATCATAGAAGACTTTTATGAGCAATTATATGCCAATAAACTGGAAAACCTAAAAGAAATAAATAAATTCCTGGACACATGCAACCTACCAAAGTTGAACTACTATGAAGAAATAAAATACCTACACAGGCCAATAATGTGTAACAAGAATGAATCAGTAATAATAAGTCTCCCGTCAAAGAAAAGCCCAGGAACTGATGACTTTACTGCTAAGTTCTACCAAACATGTAAATAATAATATCACTTCTTTTCAAACTATTCTAAAAAGTTGAAGAGGTGCAAATTCTTCCACACTCATTCTATGAGGCCAACATTATCAAAACCAGACAAGGATAACTTGATAAAAAGAAAACTACAGGCCAATCTCCTTTATCAACATAGATGCAAAAATCTTTAACAAAATATAAGTGAAACAAATTCAACAGCATATTGAAAAAATAATTCACCACAATCAAGTGAGATTCATCCCAGGGATGCAAGGATGGTTTAACATATGTAAATCACAAATGTGATACATCACATTAACAGAATGAAGGACAAAAATGACATAATCATTTTAATAGACAAAGAAAAAAATTTGATAAAATTTAACATCCCTTCATGATAAAAATTCTCAGCAAATGAGATGTAGAAGTAATATACCTCAACACAATAAAGGCCATAAATGAGAAGCTCATAGATAACATCATACTGAAGAAGTTGAAAGCTATTCCTCTATGATCTGCAATAAGACAAGGATGCCGCATTTATCACTTTTGTTGAACATACTACTGGAAATCCAAGCCAGAGCAATTAGGCAAGAGAAATGAAAGGCATCCAAATAGGAAAGGGGGAAGTCAAATTGTCCTTGTTTGCAGATGACATTATCTTATATATAGAAAATCCTAAAGATTCCACAAAAAACTGTTAGAATAAATAAATTCAATAAAGTTGCAGGATACAAACTCAACATGCAAAAATCAGTAGTGTTTCTATATGCCAGTAGCAAGCTACCTAAAAAAAGATATCAAGAAAGCAATCCACTGACAATAGCTATAAAATAAATACCCAGGAATATAGTTAACAAAGGAGGTGAAACATCTTGAGTGGAAACTATAGAATATGGATAAAATAAATTGAAGAGGACACAAATAAATAGAAAGATAATAATGAATTGCAAAAATTAATATTGTCAAAATGTCCATATTATCCAAAGCAATTTACTAATTCAATGCAATCCCTATTCTTCACAGAAATAGAAAAAAAAATCCTAAAACTTCTATGGAACCACAAAAGACCCCAAATAGCCAAAGTAATCCTTAGCAAAAATAAAGCTCGAGGCATCACACTACCTGACTTTAAAATATACTATAAAGCTATAGTAACCAAATCAACATGGTACTGGTATAAAAATAGACACATAGATAACTGAAACAGAATACAGAACAGAAATAAATCCATGCACTTACAGCCAACTGATTTTCAACAAAAGTGTCAGCAACATGCATTAGGAAAAGGAGAGGCTTTTCAATAGATGGCACTGGGAAAACTGAATATCCACATGTAGAAGAATAAAATTAGACCCCTGTCTCTTACCATATGTAAAAATTAGTTCAAAATTGATTAAAAACTTTAATGTAAGACCTGAAACTGTAAGCATCCTAGAAGAAAACATGGGAGAAACAATTCATGACATTGGTCTCGGCAAGAATTTTTTGAATAAGACCTCAAAAGCATACAACAAAAGCAAATATAGAGAAATGGTACTATATTAAACTAAAATGCTTCTGTACAGCAAAGGAAACAGATTGAAGTTAACTTAAGGAATGGGAGAAAACATATGCAAACTATGCATCTGACAAGGGGTTAATGCCTAGAATATATAGAAAAATAACTCAATAGCAGAAAAATAAATAATTCCATTTAAAGATGGGCAAAATGCCTAAATAGACATTTCTCTAAAGAAGACATACTAATGCTTAGCATCACTAATCATCAGGGAAATGCAAATAAAACCATAATGACATATCACCTCAGTCCAGTTAGAATGGCTATTATCAAAAAGACAAAAAATAACAAATGTTGGGGTAGATGTGAAGAAAGAGGAAGTCTCATATGCTGTTGTAAATTAGTCCAGCAATGATGGAAAACAGAATGAAGGTTCCTAAAAAAGTTAAAAAATAGAAGTACCATATGATCCAGAATCCCACTACTGAGTATATATCCAAAGGAAATAAAATCAGTTATGTGGAAGAGATATCTGCATTCCCATGTTTATTGCAGCATTATTCACAGTAGTTGCATGGAATCAACCTAAGTGTCCATCAGTGGATGAATGGATAAAGAAAATGTGGTGTATATATACAATGGAAGACTATTCAACCATAAAAAGAAATTTTGTCATTTGTGGCAACGTAATTGGGCCCAGAGGACATTATGTTAAGTAAAATAAGCCAGGCATGTAAAGACGAATACTGTACAATCTCACACAAAAGTGGATTCTATAATTTAAAAAGTTGATTTAATAGCAGCAGAGCGTAGAATAGTGGTTGCCAGAGGCTTGGGAGGGTAGTGGGGCAGGGGAGATGGGGATAGACTGGTCAACAGGTACAAAGGTTCAGTTAGATAGGAATAAGTTCTGGTGTTCTATTGCACAGTAGGGTGACTATAGTTAACAATATTATATTGTATATTTCAAAATAGCTAGAAGAGAGGATTTTGAATGTTCTTACCACAAAGGGATGATAAATGTTTGAGGTGAAAAATATGCTAAATACCCTGATTTGATCATCACAAAATATATACGTGTATCAAAACATCACACTATACCCTATAAATATGTACAATTATTATGAGTCAATTAAAAGTAAAATAAAACTTAAAAAAAAGAAACTTGGTGGCCTAAAGATTTCCACTAGATAGTTGGCTGTTTCTCCCAAGTACAGGGTTAAAAATAGCTGAAAAGAGGTTACGATGTTCAGGGAAAGTAGCAAAGAGTACACCAGGGAGACTGACAGATGGACAGAAATGCTCTGACACTAGCTGGCCTCATATAAGACTAAAACTTATTAAAGCTGTCAAATGAAGGGGAGTGCAGGAAAGCTTAGGGCCCTGGATGGTCCTTCTTGAAATGTTTCCCAGAACAGGGGCAAACATCAAAGGCCTTCTTGGAAAAGAATGAAGTTGGCAAACTTCATTCAATGCTGTATTGGACATTCCTTCATTCAACAAATATTAAAACCCACTAGATGGTAAGCTTACTCAGCAGACATGGTGAGATCAGCAGTAGGCTTTGTTTTTTGTGGAACACCTATACAAACAAAAGAATGTGAAGTGTGTTTTAATAACTGGAAGATACTTAATCTGGTTGGAAATAGAGACTTGTGGGGAGATATCATGAGCCTGGACACATCAAGTGGACCTAGATACTTGAGGACCTTGAAAACCATTTTAAAGGCTTTAGCTGGGTTGCATCTTAATCAATGTGAAGTCACTGGAAGATTTTTATTTGGGTTTATTAAAAATTTTTTCAAAGTAATACATGCACAAGGTAAAAAATTAAATAGTACAGAAGGACTTAAAATGAAAAACACAGTTTCCCATCCCACCCTTTTTAAATCTAAATCCCATTCCCTAGAGGTAATGCTTTTAACAATATTTATTTTAGATCGTCTGGTAACTTTCTAACTTTAAATAATATGTTTGAGCAATAATTTCTTGACTTACTGACTTTACAACATCTTTAATAATTCCCCATTACAAAAGATAAGGATTTAACTTACACTATCGCCACTTTCCTTTGTCCATCTCTCTCCAAATGTCTGATAGTTACATCACTTTTTAATACATCTATTGGTTTGATTTTATAGCTTTGAACAATACACTAATCCTCTAGTTCTTGTTCCATTAACTGAAGATCTTTTCATCCCCACTTTGAATATATAAGTATCTCTACCTTTGATTCCACTTCTCTTCCTCTAATTCTCAATCTCTTTCTGCTTTCTTTCCCTTTGTCAGCATTAATTACTTTCAACTTCAGTTCTGAATAAAAAATGAAACCTTTCACACTTTGTTAATAGGCTGATCTGAACATTGAATACTAATAAATGATATCCACATTATTTTGGCTATTTAAATACTTCTTACTGGGAGCCTAGTATAAGCTAGGATATTTTCTTCCCTACACACCCAATATCATCATGCCTGTGCCATAGAAAAGGAAATGTACCTATCAAGCCTCTTCTTATTCTTCATGAATAACTCAAAATCATGCCTCATTTTATTTTGCTCTATAATTGGACCTGAATTTTTTGACATATTGTTGATTTGTCTTTCTTTTTTCTTGACTAAATAATCTTCTCAAGCATCCCAGCTCTTCAATGATACTATCTATGGCACTGAATGCACATTCTTCCCAGAAAGCCCGAGACAGTATGCTCTCATCTGAAATTAGTCTGCTGGATAGCTGTCACTCTAGGGTGAGATACCCTTTTGGCTGTCACTCTAGAATGAGACATCCTAAGTAAGGTCCACTGTTTTATGGATCCCATTTCTTCTTCTTTCCTGGTTTTCATCCTCATTTTGCTGGAGAATTTCCTCAAGATACTTCCTCAGTAAGGGTGCAAAGGAGACTTTCTGAAAATTTGCCTGACAGAAAATGTCTTCACTTTGATGTTCTTCTTGACAGTCTGCCTTACTATGAAATTCTAGGTACAAAAATTTTCCTTAAGCTCTGAAGATGTTGATCCATTGACTTCTGGCATTCAGTGTTGCTGATGACAAATCTGTTAGCAGTCTATTTCTCATCCATTTTTGTGTTGAGCTAATCGTGATGACCTCATTTGTTTTCTCCCTGGCCACTTTAATATCTTCCTTCTATCCTTAATATTCCAAAATTTTACAATATTGTGTCTAGATGTAGATTGTATTGGGCCCTCTCAATCTGGAGACTTAGCTTGCTCTGTTCTTCAATTCTTTTTCTTTTTATTTCTTCACCTACACTGTCTCTGTTCTCTCTTCCAGGAACTCCTAACATTACATATTGATTGTCTATGTCTTTTTTCTTTCTTTATATTTTTCTATCTATTTCTTTTTGCTCTTTATCTGGAGAGATTCCCTCAACTTTATTTTCCAGACTGTATACCAAATACTTTTAGCAGTCTTATTTTATTTTCAAAGAGATCTTCTTATTCTCAGTCTTCTCTTTCTTTTCTTGCTTTTTAAGAGACAGGGTCTCACTCTGTCCCCCAGGCTGGAGTGCAGTGGCACCATCATGGCTCACTGAAGCCTTGAACTCCTGGGCTCAAGTGATCTTCCCACTTCAGCCTCCCAAGTAGCTAGGACCACAGGCACATGCCACCATGCTTGGCTAATTTTTAAAAATTATTTTGTAGAGACGGGATGTTGCCATCTTGCCTAGGCTGGTCTTGAACTCCTGAGTTTTCCGTTTCTTTGTAGTATCCTGTTTTTCATCTTAAATACACCTCAAATCTCTCTGGAGATGGAATTAAAATTAAGTTATTCTTTCCACATTGTCTTTGTTTCCCTCAGAGTTTGTCATATTTTCAAGGCCCCTAATTCTACCTCGTGACTTTTCTTATTCCTCTTCCCTCCCCATCGCCCATGTCTGGGAATTTCTAACTCACCATTCCCATTTAAGAATCAACATAACTGTTAACTTGTATAACAGTTGGCATGGGTTTCCTCTGCTGTTGTACAGTTAGGTCTGTTTCTTCAGGAAACCTCTTCTATACCTGAAGGCAACAGGCACTTGAGTAGGAGGTCTCAGCTGTCAGTAGAGAATTAGCTGACCGGCTGGGGGTAGGGGCACTTATTTCCACTAGAAGAGAAATTTTTTTCTGGAGCACCAACTCTTATCTCTCTGCAAGCAGCCTGTTCAATTCCTTTATACAAACAACAACAGCAACAATAACAAGAAATTTTTAACTGGTATCAATAGTGGAGACTGCCTGTGTTCTGTGCATAAGAGTTGGGGGAGAGTAGGAGAGGGCTCAATCTTACAACTGGAGTAATTCTTCAGTAGACAAGCTTTTCAGGTGCGCAAGTCTCTTTGGGGTTATGTTGTTCAGATCAGCTTACATTTTATCTGAAAGGTTCTTCACTCTTTCATTATCATGCTTCATCCACTTTCTATCTTCCAGAAATATGCTGAGATCCTCTCCACTTATAACCAAATCCCTTCAGTTTTCTTTGCTGAGATGTGTCAGTTCCTTTTTGCATTTCTTGACTTCAATTTCAGTGGGGCCTGGGGAGGGAGGGAAGGTAAACTTATGTTTACTCCATTATCTCAAATTAGAAATTCCAGTGGAGGCTTTTAGACACGGAAGTAACATGGATAACTTTATATTTTAAATATATCCCCGGGATGTACTGCTAAAAATATATTAAAGAGGGCAAGGATGGATACACATATTCTCAAAGATGGAGGATCTAATTTCCTCTCTGAGAACATGCAGTGTTTGGGATCTCTGGGAGTCAGGCACTTCACTGAAATAGTCCATCATTCAAAATCCAACAAACTAGAGAACACTTTCATGGTACCCTAGAAAGAATAACTGAAACTTGAGTAATGCAGAACCTAAAAGATCTGGCTGATGCTAAAGGGCTCACTCCAGCACTATCTATTGGGAAGCACTTCAGGAGCCTACCTTAAATTCTTTGAATTGTCATTTGGGATAAACAAAATGATTTTTTGTTCTGATAAAAGTAGATGATAGGTAAGTATATGCAGCCAAAGCTCTGGCAAGTAGGAACATAATGATCCTTTGGTTTGCTGGTCGGCTTCTTTATTTACCCATTGATGGGGTCATTCAAAGCACTGTAGTTATGAATGCCCATTCTGTAATCAGAATGCCTGAATTCAAATCCCAGATCAACCACTTATTAGCAATATAGCCTTAGATAATTTACCTTATCTTCCTTAACTTCAGTTCTCTCGTTCATAAAATAAAATGGGAGTGATAATGGTTGCCATGTCATGAGATTATTGTGAAGATTAAATGAAACAATCTATAGAAAGGAATCACTACAATAACTGGTACACACCCAATAATTGATAACAATTATTTTAAATGTTGAACAAATATCCAATGTCTCATGTTTAAAGCACCTAGGCAATGGATATTTGTGCAATCAGGAGAAATAATCCTAGGACCGACAAATAACATGACAAAGAAATCTACTGGGAGGCCGAGGTGGGTGGATCACCTAGGCCAGGAGTTCGAGACCAGCCTGGCCAACATGGCAAAACCCCATCTCTACTAAAAATACAAAAAATTAGCTGGGTGTGGTGGTGGGCACCTGTAAGCCCAGCTACTTGTGATGCTGAGGCAGGAGAATCGCTTGAACCTGGGAGGTAGAGGGTGCAATGAGCCGAGACGGTGCCATTGCACTCCAGCCTGGGTGACAAGACTGATACGCTATCTCAAACAAACAAACAAAAATCCAAAGAAAAAACTCTATAGGTCAAATCTTACAGTCTACATATCTACCCAATTACCAATTAAGCAAATAAAATGATATATTAAAATAACTAAAATAAAAAGTGAGCTAAAGAAAAACTGGCTGGATGTATATGACATCAACCAAAAGGACCCAACTTTAGTTAAAACTGTAAAGAAATAGGGGATTCTGAATAAAATTAAAAAGAAATAAGTTTGGGTCAACTCTATCCAATCATCTTGTTTCAGAGTAAAGTCCTCTATGTGTGTGGACTTCGTCTGCCAAACTGTTGAGTAACTCTTGACAGGCACTATGTCTTGAATCTGTGTTACAGAAATAAAAACACTGTCATGAAACCAGATACCCTCTGTTTGCTAAGGACAAATGTCATTATGGAATTGATCTGGTTTCTTCAAGACATCTACTCTTGATTTAATCAAAGAAGGAATTGGATCTGTAAAATACAATTGGATAAGGAGATCCAAGGAAGAGCTCCAAATTCACAATGAGGTTCTTATAAATAGCTTTACAAATCTAAGTTAAAAAGAAACAAAATTTTTTAGCTATTTAAAAAAACCCATTGTGAATTTAGAGTTCTTCCTTTAGATTCATAAGGCAACATAGCAGAATCCTTTCAGAAGTTGCTGTATAAAGTGCAAGATGGGCTAGGATTAACTACAACTGCCTCTGTAAATGTCATCTAAAAATAAAGTCTAGCTCATAAAGAGTATTGAGTCAATTAGATAATAATAATGGCAGCAGACATTTTCTCAACACCTACTACCTGCCAGGGACGGTTCTCATTGCTTTTTAAAGGTATTATAAAATGTAATCCTCACAATGATCCTATGAGATAGATCCTATTTTATAGATGAGAAAACTAAATCACAGAGAAGTTAAGGAAATTGCCAGGGTTATACAACTCGTAGGTGAAAGAACCAGGATTTGAACACAGGGAAGCTACTTGTAGAGAGAGTTATCCTAACCTCTAAATTCTGGAGACAGGATGGAAAGTAGTAAGCTCATTATCCTGTGGACCAGCATAAAATAGAAAATCCCCTTAGATGACATGCTCTGCAGACCTCACAAGCCTCTTCAGAATTTATCACTCTGAACCTCCACGACAACCCTGTGAACTGGGAATTTTTATCCCCATTTTACACACAGGAAATGAGAGTACCAAGTTGAAATGACTTTCCCGAGAGCTAACCCTACCTAGTTCTGGGCTCTTCCCACTATACCAGAATGCTTGTCTACTTTGAAAACTACTCAAGTCACAAAATATATGAGTCCATCCAAGAGCTATCTGGGTCTCACGGTAAATTTGTGTTCCAGTTGAGTTTTATGGTCAAGTTTTTGGAACAACTGTTCAAAAACAAAAGCCCAAAGGGAGTCTTCAGGATGCCAACATGAGAACTACCCCCTCTGGGCTATGACCTATGATGGTGAATCCAGGGCTGATATAGAAGCAGGTGCCAAAGCTCTTGGAACTGGGCCAGTGCAGGGTCAGGAGGGAATGTGACAGCTGAAAGCAGACGAACAAGATGCAGAAACAGAAGCCCTTGCACCTGAGAAATTCTGATTCCACTTTTGGCTGTGTTCTGAACCCACTTCCTAGAGACAGAGGTCGGTAATAAGGTATAGGGCAATGAACTAAGAGGACAAGGCCAGACCCTGGGAGGCAGAGGTAGAGGAGTGAATCCCCACCTCTGCCTACCTCCCCAAACCTCTCTACCTGCCACCTCGATGGGCACTCCTTACATCTGTGTGAGGAGGTACAATTTCATAATATTTTCCTTCCATTCAGGCAGATAGGCCAGGCTGGTAGCCACTTCCTTCTGGATGGGCCAGGCCCAGGCCTCAAAGAACGGAGCCAGGTTCTTCTGCACTTGGTGGGAGAACATCTTGACCCACAGATTCATTTTGTCAACATTTTCTGTGGGCAAGTTGGTCTGGTTCCTGTACTCGGTGAAGAGACGGATGAATGGCTCCCAACCAAAGGCTTCCTGGAGCTGGGAAAAGAAAGAAAAATACAGATCAGATTTGGAAATAAAAAAGGGTCCAACAACAACCACTATAATAAGTGAACTTAGTATATGTAACCCCTTACCCATCAGCTTCACGTCTATCACCGACCTGCTCTCCTCCATTTTGCCTCCTGGCCTCATGCCCTGCTCTTCCACATTCTAATCTTAGGAAGGGCCTTGGGACCAGCACGGTGTTCAACACCAAGTGGATACTAAATCAGTGAGGGCCATGGTAACAACTGCAATGATTAATATCAATATTTTCTACCAGTATCATTACCCACGTATCCCACTAGATCACGCAAATAGAGATAGGATATTACACAAGGATTTAAAATTGGCAGAATTGGAAAAATCCTCTTCTCAAGAGTTGAAAAGTGAAACCTCAACAATAGGGAAACTTCCACCTCATCCTGGCACAAAGAAATCCTCATTAATCATAGATCTTTGTCAATGTGCAAGGGTATTAAAATGGCTTTTGGGGAAAAAAAGTGAGTTGGATAGAAGTAGAAGACTGCAGATTGTCTGGGTAACTAGAATTAAGAATAAGTTGTAATTTTTGAAAAAGGCAGCCATCTTGAGGCTGTTGAGTTACAGAGCTTGAATTATGAGGCACTTGAGCAGTTCCCCAGACCAACTTCACATTTATTTCACCAATGAGAAACTTGGTGTTCCTGGGGCAAAGCAGCCATAACAAGGTTAAAGTGGAGCCTCCTTGGTTTTCCCATAATTCTCACGGCAGTGGGAATGAATAAGAGAGCCTCCAGCAGGTGGAAGAACCAGAATAGAGCATGCTTGGCCTGAGACTGAGTTCTGAAATTCAAGGTGATGAAACTCTCCAGTCTCATGCCAGGAACTGATCCAGGCATTGCAGGGAGGGAACTAGGCATTAAACAACTGGTCAAAGGCAAGGCCACCTCCTTGTCCAGGTCAGTGAGGACTCTTGGATTGCCTACATAATGGGGGCTCTGAGGCACGGCCAAGGCATAGTGAGAAGATGGTACATTCATCTAAGGAAAAAAAAAATAAGTCATATCCTATGGATTATGTGTATGGTTGGGGGGAACTGGTTTTAGATAGCTATTAAGTAGGAGAGTTTGGCTTCAGTCTCAGGTATGTCTGGCTTTAAAGCCAGAGAGAGTGAATATATGTATAGTACTTTATTTGTCTCTACCATTTTTAACCTTTCTCAGTGCTTTCTATTTACTATCATATATCTCTATGGGGTGGAAGGTGAGGCTCAGGCAATGAAATCCACTTGAGGGTCATGCAAGGCGATGCACTAAGAGACATCATCAATACGACTGTCACAGTTGGACTTTGTCAGGGCCTCCCATATCCCAGTGTGGGAGACAGGGGCCATGGGTGGTCTTCTGGGCCACTAGAACATTATCCGATAGTTGCCCTGATGGTCCCCGCAGTAGGGGTCCCCCATCACCCGCCATTCTTGCCCAGTACCTGTAAATACGTTTCCAGTGCGGTCCATGCATTCCAGTTTTTCACATTGGGACCCTTGCTCAGGTAGATTCTGACTCTCTTCTCCCGAACTGGGGGCCACAGAGCAATATTGGCACGGCTTCGAGGAATGCCCAAGACCGTCTCATGCACATACACACACCACAGGTTGCAGGTGGCCTCGGTGGTGTGTGGTGGGAACTCCCACTCCTGCCGCTGCTGGTTGCGGCCCAGCTCATGGACGGGGCCCCACAGCCCCTTGGTTCTGATGAGCTTCTCGTTGATGAGCTCCTGCACTGACTCCAGATGGCACATGATGGGGTACCCTGCATGCATCCAGCCTGGAAAATGCAGAAGGAGGGAAGAGAGAGTTAGGGTCCTCCCCATTTAAGTCGTAATATTCTTCTATGTTTTGTGTGTGTTCCAAAACACTCAGTAACCCCAGCCAAATTCCAGCACACCATAATACTCAGAAAAGCAACCCAAACCAAGACCCTGCTAGGTGTTCCTTCTCCTCTTTTCATTCTGGAAGAATTCCTTCATCTCTACTCTGACCCAGAATAGTGTGGCTATGGAAGGAGATGCAGCTTATATATAAGGAGCTGTTCATGTTACCATTCAATTTTTCTATTTTGATGAGGATGCCTTATCCATGTGAATCTGTGTCACTATAACCTTTTCTCAAAATTCAGAGCTCTTTAAGGGTAGCTCCTCTCTCATTGTTCAGATATGGAGTTGCCATATCAACACAAGTTTACAGTGAACATCCGTATAAGAAAGAAAATGAGGGTCCAGAGAAATTCCCATGGTTCTTTAATGTCTGTATATTTCCCTCACTTTTCATGTTCCTTGACCATAGGCAAAGATCGCTTTATTCAGTGTGTTCTTAAAGTTGTAAAATTCCCTTTTCCAACCCAACAACTCTGACCTAGGTCACGGCCCTCTGCCATTTTTACCGGCTTGAAGTCCCTGATGAATACCTGTGAAAGCTCAGGTGGCATTTCTTGATGTCCTTGACATGCTGACCTAAACTGTTTTATATACATATATATATATACACACATATACATATATACAAATATATATTATGTAATATATATTATATAATATATATTATATATTATATAATATATATAATATATATTATATATATAATATATAATATATATTATATATTATATATATTTCCTTCCCATTTAAATAACAAGGATACATCTATATGTCTTGCTAGCAAAATATGTTTCCCCTACTGGCTGCCCACTGCATGGCTGATGAAAGACAGGAAGGCGCTCAGAGGCAGCATGCACAGAGGGTTTGCTTGGAGCACCCACCCACTGAGATCTGCACGTCGGCAACAATCCTCTGAGGCAGGCGCAAAGGGAAGGGCTCAGCTCCCAGTCGCGCCACAGCCTGCATCACCTCATCCCAGAGGCGGAGCAGCGGCTCAGGGTTCTCCAGAGTACGAAGATTTGCGGTCGGCACGGTCAGAATGATGTTGTCCGTGGCCAGCTCTCCCCAGGGCCCTGGATTCTCCTGGATACGCCTCTTCCACTCCTCCAGGGTGGTCTCCCCTAGGAAGAGAGACCATGGAGCTTGAAATCCTTTCCCAAATCCCTTAAATTACAACATACAACTTAGACTCCAGGAAGAGAACAACAAAATCATGAACTGCCATATCCCTCCTCTTTTTTAAAAAATGTAAAGTTCCGGGATACATGTGCAGGACGTGCAGGTTTGTTCCATAGGTAAACATGTGTGATGGTGGTTTGCTGCACCCATCAACCCATCACCTAGGTATTAAGCCCAGCATGCATTAGCTATTTATCCTGATGGTCTCCCTCCATCCACCCCCGCTACCCACCCCACTGACAGGCCCCAATGTGTGTTGTTCCCCTCCCTGTGTCCATGTGTTCTTATTGTTCAGCTCCCACTTACAAGTGAGAACACGTGGTGTTTGGTTTTCTGTTCCTGTGTTAGTTTGCTGAGGCTATATCCCTTTTCTCTATCCTTCTATGAAGTCTCCAAGGATGTGGTTTGGTCTTTATCTGTACAACCCCAAAGCTGAATCTAAGGAAGCTGACCCTTATTCCTCTGTTAGCCCGTGTCTCTCTCCTTCTGCACCAAACAGACTCTAGTCACCTCCTGGACTCCCATGCTCTCTGGAATCCTCATCTCAGTTCTTCCCCTTCCCTCAGGGGCACCCAGAGCTCCCACTCACCCAGCTTGTAGTATGGAGCATGCACAGCCCCCTTCACGGTGACAGGCACAGAACCCAGTTTGCTGTTCTGAGGCACAATTATATAGAGGAGTCCACCCCAGAGGCACGTGATCGATTTTGTGGGTTTGTCCAAGCAGCACCGGTTAATTACGAGTGGGCCTCGGAAAAGCTTGCTGGCCCTGGTCAGGTCATCTGTGTGGCAGCCAATCTGTATCTGGAGCAGAAAGATCCCCCCCTCAAGGAGTCACCATGGGGCACGAGTGGGTGGAAGAAGAGAGCCCAGCAAGGGACTCAGGATGGGTCATTCAGCCATGAACCCAAGCGAGCCCAGCCTTCCCACCACAGATGAACCATGTGTGATACCCCAAGAAACTGTAGCATTCCTTGGGGCATATGGACTGAAGTATATATAAATATTTTCCCAAAGCATTCAAACAGCTCCATAATGGGTCATGTTAGATAGACATTAATGTGAGAAGTGCCAGGTGTAACCTGTAAGGCCAATTCTGAGGAGGGCTGACTCCCACACCCGGTCTCCTGGTGTTGCTAACAAATAGAACACTTGATCGCCTATCTCATGGTGGTGATTCTGGCATTTGGAATGGGGCAGAGGGAACCCTGCCTTTTGCTGATCAGAGAGAGGGCCCAGTGGGAGGTGGTGTGATCTGGCTAAGATAGTGGAGGGTTTCTCCAAGCCCTCTTCCTGGGCAGGTACTTGGTAGAGTCCTAGGATTCTTTTCCCTGGGTTTATGCTAATCAAGTTCCAGGATAGGTACAGGCACAGAATAGATGCTAACCATCACAGTGACCCCCAAGGGGGATAGGGAAGGACAGCAAACTAACTTTGCAAATGGGTTCTATGTGAAAGTGACAGAGGGAAGGTGAACTGGGCAATTGAGGAATGGTCTTGGATGTCATGGGGAAGAAGCTGAAGTCAGAAAGACCTTGTGCTACCATGGGAATGGATACGGAGATGAACAGTGAACTCAGATTTACTGAATGCCTACTCTGTGCTAGGTTACCTTCCATTTGATACCTCTTATTCCCTACTCTAGGATGTAGGTCAAAAGCACAAAACTTAAGAGCCAGAAATTAGTTAGGTTTGAGTCCTGGGCACTTATTTGTATTAGCTCTATACATTTCAATCGATCAATCAATCAATCAGCTTTTCTGCACCTTAGTTACTTCATCCTTAAAACAAGGGTAAAATCACCTGCTCTGTATTACCAACAGGGCTTTGTGAGAATCAAATAAGATACTGACTGTGCTAGGAAGAGCCTTTGGCTTCCATGTTACATGGTGAGGTGGGGCATGGCCTTACCTTCAGGTCGGCAGAGGCAGCAGCTTCAGGCAGTGAGACTTCTATAATTTGCCTTCCAGGTATGTAGAGCCCAGTACTCATCCAGCAATATCTGGTGCCTGCCAAAAGCAGGAGGGGTAGGCAGACTTTATCCCTCCTCCATGATGCCACCTCCACCCAGCATCACCAGAGACCCTTCGTAAGCACGTATCTTCCCCTACATGCTGCCTTGACTCAACTCTTCCAAACAGTACTTAAAATCCCAACCCTTATCTTCTTCAAAGTTCATGGTAAAAAATGGAGACCACCTTCTGGACATGATCGGGTCCCTGAAATGGACTGCTGATGTCAGCCTGTCCCCATTCCCCCATTCCCATAATACTGAGCTTCCAACCCTTGTTCCTTACCTGGATTGGTGCAGTTGACCTCGACGGTGATAGGAGATTCTGAGGGGCGCAGATAGGGGCTGCTGTACATATCTTCAATTTCTGGGACTAACAGAGAGAGGTCGCTTCCAGAGTGGGCCAGCCCTGTGGCCAGGGAAAGCATAGCACCTCTGCAGCAGTCATTGATAACAGGGTTCTCTCGGGTTGCTACTGGAAGCCGATATCGACTTAGCAGCTTCCTCAGGAGTCGATGCACAGACATGTAGGCAGGGATCTCTTCTGCGGGAATCTGCAGGAAAGCTGCACCATCTGGTCCCAGCTTTGCCAACCAGCCCTTTTCCACATTTCCTCTCTTCCTGCCCATTATAACCTGGAACTCGGCCAAGGTGGAGCGGAAGTGATAGGTCCTTATCCCTGCTTTAGGAGTACGAAAGGGCCCTGGATTGAGGCTTTGGCTTGTAATGCTGATGCCAAAGGGGTTGAGGAGGAGGTTTCCTGGGAATCGAGCCAAAGGGGACACTCCGGGGTTCTTGAAGGCCCACCACCAGGCTTGGGCTCCAACAAATAGCCCGCCACCCTCTGCTACAAACTCCTGCAGTTCCTTGACCCCCACTTCACTCACGGGTTCAAAGCAGTAGACACTTGCATCACTGGTCAGATTGGGCTCGATGCTGGTGTCTATGCCCCCCACGGCGAGGAGGCCACTCAGGGTTCTCAGCTCTGTCTGCACCACAATCTTGCCTCTGCGGCCCCCATCCAGCCAGCGGACAGCATTGAGCAGAAAGGGGCCCAGTTTACCAACAGTGAATAATACCTTATGGCCAGTCACAACCACCCGGCCCCGGCCATAGCGGGCAGCCGCTATAACACAGCCATGGTAGGAATCTAACCCTAGAGGAAAGGCTAAAGCCCCATGCACTAGCAGCTGGGATGGGAAACAATCCGAGTTGCTGATGTCCAGCTCTGAAATCCCATGCAGAAGCTCTTCTCTGTCGTCGGAGAGGTCATCTTCACAACTGCAAAAGACACATGCATTCTTTATTAGAGGTACAGTTCTATATAAAGCTGTTAGAACAGTGGATGGCATACAGTGAGCGCTATAGATGTGTTAGCTTTGCTAATATTGTTATTTTTAGTTCTTAGGGGAAAGTTGGGAGAACAAAATGGACAGCTCTGACCTCACTGGGTATGGAGACTTGTTGGAGGGGTGGCAGAGGGACTCAGCATTAATTCTGCTCTGCTCATTCTTAGAGCACAAATTCTCCAATGGAAATTGCAAAGGGAGCCCTGCTGTGTTTATCCAGTACCATGTCTTAAATACTCCAGATTTTAGTTCATGGTTATTTCAACCCTCTAAACAATACATATAAAAAAATGGGAAATCATGTTTTTTTTCCTTATAAGGAGTCTTATTTATAAATTGCAGGAAATTGCAGCTAATTTCCTACAAATAAAGTCTGTGGAAGGACAAGTCAGTAGTGCTAGTGAAGAATCATTATTATCTCAAAAGGTGGGGTAGGGGAACTGACTGGCCTCAACTCTAGTGAGACCCTCTGGTTACCTGAGCCCAAGAGGACTTTACTGTCTGCATCTAGAACTCCACTTTTTCACTGCCTGCCCAACAGGAGTGATGCACATCCATGCTGTAAGGTTTTGCTCAGCACCATCTGTTTACTGTCTGTGGGTAATCCAGCCCTAGAAGCCCTCAAGATGCCCATAAATCCAAAATGAGATGGAACACTGGATAAGGTGGAGTTAAGGAATAGAGTGGCCTCTCTGAGCTTGAGATTCCAGAGTTGGTTCTGTCACTTTTGTTAGGTAAAGTATAGTAGGATGCAGCTACTATAGTATAGTAGGATGCAGCTGTAAGATAACACCAAAAAATGGGGGTCAGGTAGACAACAAATTTGCAGTGTTCGTGCTGTACTCTCTATGGCTGGCAGAGCTCTACTGATGGGAAAGCTATGGTCCTCTTAGCAAGTATGAACCTTTACTAAAGATAAAGCTACTACCATACTAATTGGTGGATGACTCTCTAACTCGGTAAAGAACTATCATTAACATCATTCAACTATCTCTTCTTGCTCTGATTCGAGGCTTACCAAACAACTCTGTGATTGTAATACTGCTTTCCATGATCACCTGCCTAATGAGAGAAAGAAGTCACTGGCTAGGCCAACCAGAATATTCTAGATTTGTAACATTTATTTATTTTATTCAAGCAACATTTTGGATAGTCTGTATTTAATTTGGTGACTCTTAAAATTTTTTAAAATTCATTTTCAATTGTAGTCCTTTAAACATGTATACAAAATTTAATGAAAAATGTGTTTTAGTTCTTATAATTAGAGTTCTGTTTATAATTTTTTTCTCTTTTATTTTTGATTTTTTAATTTAATGGAGAAGGGGGGGTCTCACTATGTTGCTCAGGTTGGTCTTGAACTCCTGGGCTCAAGCAATCCTCCTGCCTCGGCCTCCCAAAGTGCTGGGATTATAGGCCATGGCACCTGGCCTTGTTTACGAAGTTCATGCAATTATTTTTTTTTAAGAGTAAAATCAGTGAAGAGGTGGGCTACTGTGCTCTAAGTGAATACATCAGCTTCAGGATTTCTACATGAGCCTACTGATGAGAGAAATTAAACCTACAAAGCTGAGATTCAGACACTGAGTTATTAGAACTTCATCTGAACAATGAGACTACATGAGGTCTTGCTCAGTGCTTAGCCAGGGGGCACCCTCGGAGGCATCTGTCTATTAGTTCCAACAGCCACGATTTATATACAGTAGGGGCTAAGTAATTCTTTCATGTGTTGAAAAAATGAGTTGGATTTTACTTCTCTTCCTTACCCTCTTCTGAAGTGAAACAAAAGTTACTTAAAAAAATAAATCCTGGTGAAACCCTGTCTCTACAAAAATACAAAAATTAGCGGGGCATGATGGCGGGTGCCTATAATCCCAGCTATTCAGGAGGCTGAGGCAGGAGAATTGCTTGAACCTGGGAGGCAGAGGTTGCAGTGAGCTGAGATCATGCCAATGCACTCTAGCCTGGGCGACAGAGTGAAACTCAGTAAATCCATAATAGCATTGGATTTTGAGAAGGGTGCCATCAACAAACTGAGATAGTGGGGACATTTATAAAAAATATAAATCAAATGGTATCTGATTGATTGGAAAGCCATGAGAACAGAAGAATCTAACTGCGTACATGTGAAAGAGAAGATCAGGGGAACAAAGGACCAAAGATTATCATTTGTCCCAAGAAAATGCTCTGCAGTAACCAATAATGATCAACCTAGGATTTAAATGTAATTTAAAATGTAAATAGACAAGAACCACCAAATATCTGACGAAAATTAACAGCATGAAAGAGAAGCACCCAACTAAACTCCCAAGGGAACAATAGCAACAAATGGAGAAGAACGTTCTAAGTAGGTATTGCATATCATCAGAAAGTTCTAAGAAGATATATTACCTCTCTCGTGAAAAAATGGGACAGGCTACTCTAAAAGATTATTGATTAGGCTGGGCGTGGTGGCTCACGCCTGTAATCCCAGCACTTTGGGAGGCCAAGGTGGGCGGATCACGAGGTCAGGAGATCGAGACCATCCTGGCTGACACTGTGAAACCCCATCTACTAAAAATACAAAAAATTAGCCAGGCGTGGTGGTGGGCGCCTGTAGTCCCAGCTACTCGGGAGGCTGAGGCAGCAGAATGGCATGAACCTGGGAGGTGGAGCTGGCAGTGAGCTGAGACTGTCCCACACACAACCGCAGGCAACTACTGATGTGCTTTCTATCCATAAACATTTTTCTTTTCTAAAGCTTCATATAATGTAATCATAAAGTATGTACTCCTTTGAGTTTGGCTTCTTTCACTCAGAATAACTTTGTGAGAACCATCCATACTGTGGCATCTATCCGTAATGCATCGTCTTCTACAGCTGTGTATTATGCCATTCTGGAGATAGGCTACACTTTGTTTATCCTGTCATCTGTTGATGGACATTTGGGTAGTCTTTGGTTTGGGCTTGCTGCCCTAAACATTAATGTACAAGTTTTTGTGTGGACATGTTTTCCTTTCTCTTGGATAAAGGGTGATGAAATGGCAAAATTGTATGTTAATTGTCAGTTAACTTTATAAGAAATTGCCAAACCGTCTTCCAAAGTGGTTGTGTCATTTTATATTCCCACTGGCAATGTATAAAACCACATTCTTGTCAGCAATTCATATAGCGAGTCTTTAATTTTAGCCATTTTTATGGGGCCATAGGGCATTTCATTGTGATTTTAGTTTTTTGCATTTCTCTGATGACTAATGATAGTGAGAATCATTTGGGCTTTTTGGCCTTTTATATTTTATCTTTTGTGAAGTGTGTTAAACTATTTTGGCTTAAAAAAAAAAAAAACTTGCAGGGTGTGGTATCTCATGCCTATAATCCCAGCACTTCGGGAGGCCAAGGCAGGACTGCTTGAGCCCAGGAGTCTGAGAACAGCCTGGGCAACATGGCAAGACTCCATCTCTACAAAAAATTTTAAAAATGGCCAGGTGTGGTGGCGTGCACCTGTAGTCCTGGCTACTCAGGAGGCTGAGGAGGAAGGATTGCTTGAGTGCCATGTTCGTGCCACTGTACTTCAGCCTGAGACAGAAAGGGAGACCCTGTCTCAAAAAACAAAACAAAAACAAAGAAACATAGGTGGTCTCATTATTGGAATATAAGAGTTCTCCATGTATTCTGAATGCAAGTCCATTGTCAGATATAAGTATTGCAAATATTTTTTTTTCCAGTCTATGGCTTGCCTTTTTGTTTCCTTAATACTGTCTATTGAACTGCAGAGCTATTTACTTTTTAAAAATAAAGCTCAATTTATTAATCTTTTCCTTTTATGGTTCATGTACTTTTTGTGTCCTATGTAGGCAAAAATTGCAAAGGTCAAGGTCACAGATATTTTCTCCTATGCTTTCATTTAGAAGTTTTTAAAATTTAGCTTTTGCATTTAGGTCTAGATCTATTTTTAAATATTTGCTTTTATGGAGTAGGGTGAGGGTCACAATTCACCTTTTTTCCATAAGGGTATCCAGTTGTTCCAGAACCATATGTTGGAAAGACTGTAATTTCCTCATAGAATTAGCTGAGCAACTCTGTCAAAAAACAATTTACCATAAATTTGTGGGTCTATCTCTAAACTATCTGGTCTGTTTCATTGATCTGCATGTCTATCTTTATGCCAATATCAAAGTGTTTTGACTACTTCATTTCTGTAAAAAGTCTTAAAACTAGCCTATGTTAGTTCCATTTCATTTGTATATTTTTAGAATCGGTTTGAACTATGGACTGCATTAAATCTGTAGGTTAATGGGGAAACTGACATCTTAAAATATCAAGTGTTCTGATCCATCAACATGGTATATTTCTCCATTTCTTTAGGTTTTATTTAATTTCTCTCAGAGATGTTTTGTAGTTTTCACCATACAGGTCTCATGACATATTTTGTTAAATTTAACACTTACTACTTCATAATTTGGGTTCTATTTTAAATGTTGTATTTTAAAATTGTAATTACCAATTGCTGGTTGCTAATATATTAAAAAAGTAATTGGTTTTTGTAAATTGAATTTTGTATCTTACAACCTTGTTAAAATTAATTATTATAGCTTTACTGTAGATATTTTAGGATTTTTTTTTACATAGATGATCATGCTTTTTGCAAATACTTCTAAAAATAAAATAATTCCATTCTAGGAAATGCTCTAACTTTATGTTTAAATGGATCTTGTCATTTAAAAATCTTCTAAATGTGTAAAATACTTTTTTCTTTTAAATTTGTTTTCCAACACCAAGATTCAAACATTTCCTGTCTTTTGGCTCAGTGTTCTAGAAAAACAAAACACACATATATATATTTTTTTAAATTTCCAATCTCTATGCCTTATTTTCCTTGCCTTATTACACTGGGTAGGACCTGTAGCACAATGTTGAATAGAAGAGGTGAGAGCAGGTATTATTCCTTGTCATGTTCTCAGTCTTAGGGGAAAATGTTCAGTATTCACCTTTAAGAATATTTTTAACTATATATTTTTCGTAGACATTTTTATCAGGTTGAAGCAGTTCCTTTTTATTTCTCATTTGCTGAAATTTTATCATAATTTGGTATGATTTGGTATTGAATTTGGTCAATATTTTGTATGTGTATTATTGAATTATATGGTTTTTATTTTTCTTTTGGTTTTTTTTTTTTTTTTTTTGAGACAGTCTCACTCTGTTGCCCAGGCTGAGTACAGAGGCACGGTCTCAGCTCACTGCAACCTCTGCCTCCCAGGTTCAAATGATTCTCATGCCTCAGCCTCCCCAGTAGCTCGGACTATAGGCACACAACACCATGCCCAGCTAACTTTTGTATTTTAATAGAGATAGCATTTCACTATGGTGGTCAGGCTGGTCTCAAATCAAACTCCTGATCTCAAATGATCCACTCACCTTGGCCTCCCAAAGTGCTGGGATCACAGGCATGAGCCACCATGCCCAGCCTTGAATTACATGGTTTTTCTCATTCATTCTATTAATATGGTGAGTTAATCTGATTACTGAATGTTAGACCAGTCATTCATCCTAGGATAGCCTTACTTGGTCATGAAGTATTCTTCTTTTTATATATTTCCGTATTCTATTAATATTTTATTAATAATTTTTCATCTATATTCATGAAGGATATTGTTTTGTAGTTTTCTTACGATGTCCTTTTCTGGTTTCAGTATTAGAGAAATGCTGTTTTAATAAATCAAGTTGGAAAATCTTCCTTTTCTATTTTTAAAAAGAGTTTATGTAGGATTTGTATTATTTGTTCCTTGAATGTTTGATAAAATTCATCAATGAAGCTGTCTGGGCCTGGAATTTTCTTTGCGTTGTTGATTTTAAATACAATTTCTATTTTAAAATGTAAGAAAATCGAAAACTTGCAATATAGTAAAACATCCATTATACATTTGTCAAAACTAAGAAGTCAACAGTGATCAAACACTACTAACTAAACTCCAGATTTTATATAAATATCATCACTCTTCACACCAATGTCTTTTAGGATCCAATCCAGGATACCACATTGCATTTAGTGTTGGAATGTTTAAAATTACAATTCAATTTATTTAGCATATATTTCATGTTTCTTTTTGTATCCATTTTGGTAATTTTTGGCTGTCAGGAAATTTATCTATCTCATCTAAATTGTCAAATTTATTGGCATAAAGTTGTAATATTCCCTTACTATCCTTTTAATGTCTGTAGGATCTGTACTAATATTCCTTCTTCTATTCCTGAAATCCATAATTTGTGTTATCTCTCCTATTTTCATAGCTTATCTAGAGGTTAATCACTTTTAATGATTTTTTTTCAACTAATCAGCTTTTGGTTTTACTGTTTACTTTTTTTTTTAAAGTTGTTTCACAGATTTCTGCTCTATTATTTCCTCGTTTCTTCTACAGATTTTGGGTTTAATTCAGTTTCCTTTTTTAGATTCTTAATATGGAAACATAGTTCACTGAGTTTCAAATTTTCTTCTTTCCTAATAAAAGTATTTAAAGGCATATCTTTCTTAGCACTGTTTTAATAGAATTGCACAATTTTTGACATGTTATGCTTTCATTTTTATTCAGTTCTAAATATATTCTAATTTCCTTTGTAATTTCTGCTTTGACTTAAGGAGTATTTAGAAACATTTTTAAATTTACAAATATTTAGGAATTTTTCAGATATGTTATTGAATTCTAATTTAATTCCACTGTGATGAGGACATATATGGTATGATTTCAATTCTTTTACTCTTGCTAAGGCTTATTTTATAGCACAGCAGATGGTCTATCTTCATGGTCTATCTTCATGACTATCTCATGTGCACATAAAAGAATGTGTATTCTGCTATTGTAGCCATGCTGTTAGCATTCATAAAATAAAATTAAATAAACAAATATGGAGAAAACCCCACATGGAATAAAAACAGGCCCAAATGTAAAAAGCAATTTGAATACTTTTGAATATAGTACTTGCTGGACTCTATATGCTCAGTGTGGTGTATTCAGAAGGCAAAAATAACTTATCAAGTTTGTTATTGGCAATAGTATGGGTATAGGAATCATGAAACTCGTTTGTGTGTATTATTGGACTGAGCAAATAGGTAAATGTTGAAGCTGTTGAAACCAGGATTCTCACTATGGCAGAAGAAAAATACTAATATGGAATGAGTGAAAGAGAAGAAGAATCCTGTGGTTTTGAAGTAAAATTGGGGGTATCAGTGTGAATGTATGATTAAAAGATATGGCTCTCTCAGAACCCAGAAATGATGACACCATAGCACTGAGCATGCTTTAGATCTTGGTTTCTAAATACCGTTCACCACTAAAAGGAACTAGCATTCCTTGAGGAAATGGCTGAATCCAGGTTTTGAACCAGAAAAGTACAAGGTAACCTTGCAACATCTTTTTATGTCAGAAACTAAGTAAATACTAAAAAAAAACTGATGGGCTCAGGAGACAGCTTAACGAGGCTTTAACTTGCCAAATTTGGGACAACTTAGCCTTCAAAAAATACTGACTATAAATGGATTGTAATGTATTCGATCTTAAAAGAAAAGGATCCATGAGTATAGGGTGATACTAAAACAAACGTTTAAAAAGAAGAACAACCCTAACAGTAAATGTGAAGGTGGGGAAGCGAAGGTCTTATTTACCAAAGGATGTCAATCAGTTCTTATAGAAATCTACAAGTAAACCAACACTTAGCCTGAGGTAAGTGCTAAGATGTTAGGTTAGTATGGGAGCACAAAAGACTCATCTATATCAGAATGAGAGGAGAGGAGTAAGGGACAGCTTTCTAAAGATGTGATACCTGAGATGAATTTTGAAGAAAGGTTCAGAAGTGGCTGAAGTGGTAGAAGTAGCCACTTTCATAAATATTTACTCAGGCACAGATCACCAATGAAAGCTAAAACCACTGGGTGAAAGGTTGTTGGCAAACAGGATATTCATACAGATCTCAAATTGTCACACACTAAATTAGTTTTAAAAAAGGGGGAAAGGAATAAAATAAGTAGAAATAAAATATAATAAATAAAATCAGTAAAATAGGAAAATCTGGCAAACTCCAGTTTAATTAAATGACCAATTTTAACATCACCAGTAATTGGACAAACTGACCTCATGCACCTTTAATTTGTGACACTGTGATGAAAACAACATAAATTATTTTCTTGCCAAAAATGTGTGAACTGAGTGTAATCATGAAAAAAAAAACAATTAGACAAAGCCAAACTGAAGGGCATTCCATAAAACAACGGGACTGCATACTTCAAAAATACTAATGTCCTGAAAGATTTAAAAAAAAGCTAGGGAACTATTTTGATTAAAGGAGACTAAAGAAATATGATATGGAAACTTGATTAGATCCTATATCTTAAAAAATCTAAAAAAGGGATTTTTTTGAACAATTAGAGACGTTTGAACATGGACATTAGATAACAACATTCTATCAATGTTACATGTTTTGAGTGAGATAACTGTATTGTGGTTATATGGGAAAATGTCCTTGTTAGGAGATACAGGCTGAAGTATTCAGGTATGAAGTGTCATATCCATCACCTGCCTCCTTCATTCTTGAGATCTGTAGGTTACTCTCAAATGGCTAGGCCAAATAATCTCTTCGTATGTATACTTATGCAGCATATGTGGCAAAATGTAACCACTGGTGAATCTAGGTAAAGGGTGCGGTGATTATTATGTTATTCTGACAACTTTTCCTTAAGTGTGAAAAATTTGAAAGAAAGAGCTGGGAAAAATTAAAGGTAGCTATAATAATGATACAAAAATTGTGTATAACTTCTAAACAGAGAGAAGGGGAAAAGAAACTCCATCAATCAAGCTAAAGGCAGCAAAGGAAAATTTGAAAAGAAGCAACGAGACTGTTTAACAAAGAACATCAAATAAGATGATGGAACTAGAAGAAAAACACCAATGTCCTTAATTATATAAAAACATCAATGTCCTTAATTATATAAATTTTTAACCCTCAATTGGGTTAAAAAATCAGATTTGTACTAAGAGATGTATCTTTAAAAGCAAAAGAAAGAATAAAAAGATCAACAAGTAAAACAAAGTAGGAGTCAGAATTAATATTAGACAAAATAAAGATGAAAAATACTAAATGCAAGAAATAATATTTTAGATGACAAAAATGTATGAGCCATAAAAAAGTCATGAGTTTTTATAAACCTAAAATATAGCTTTGAAATATATAAAGCAAAAGCCAAATTCAATTCTAAAATCACACTGAGAGTATGAAACAATTGTGATATACATCTCTATACTTATCCTTTAGATCAATATATAATATAAATATATTATTTATATTTCCATGACTTAACTGATTATATAATCAGTTGATCTAAAGGGTAAGTACAGATATAGGTACATAACAGATGACACTTATGGAATCCTCTTGAAAATGATATGGTTTTTGACATTTTGTTAGGACAGAAAAATAGTGATAATTTTAAAAATGGGATAACAGTATTGTGACTACATTTAAAATTTTGTCTTTATCTTTTGGAGATATACTATTTTATGGGTGAAATGACACACTGTTGGAGATTGGCTTCAAAACAAACGGGAAAGGTTAAGGAGTGGGTGGGGTGTGATTTGATACCATTACCTGGGTGATGAGTACATGTGCTCATTGTTCTATTTCTATTTCTGTTACGTGTTTGAAAATTTCCAAAATAAGATGTTTCTAAAAGGAAATTACCAAGTCTTTAAAATGAAGAGGTGTATGTCAAGCTTAGGGGTGGTAGCGAAAAGATAGTCATTGTATTATTATTTATAAGAAAAAATAGAAATAACATTAATGTGCTAATAGGCAAATGGTTAAATGAATTTCAGGACAATCCAACTGAATGCAAGATGCTCTTCAAAAGGATGATGCCCATCTTTTTACAGGGATATGAAAAAAACGCTCAGGATATAGTCAGTGAAAGAGCAAGTTGCAGATCTCTCTCTTTTTCTCTGTGTCTCTTTCTACCAGTCCAGCTCTCCCAACTCTAACCCCAATACATAAATGTAGGAAAAACATCAGACAAGATACCATCCAAACCATTAGCAGTGATCATTTCTTTGGAAGGGGGGAAGAAAAGAATTAGCAAGAGGCAGAGGATGAGGTGGAGGACAAAGATCTTTCACTTTTTACTTTGTATGCTTCTGAATTATTTTACTTTTTTCCCAAGAAGCACATATTTTAAAATTAAAAAGGAAAAATGTTCATTAAAAGGAAAAGAAAACAATTGTGATTTGGCAATCTCTCTTATAAAACAGCATATTTTGCCACTTGTACTCACTCTCTAAAAAGTTCTATTTTGTGAAAATCAGTTAAAACAATTTTAGTATATATGGCTAAGCATATAGTAAGAAGTACAAAGCAGGAGTTAGGTAAATACATTCACCCCACCATGCCTGGGCATTGATTCTGACCTAAAACCTATAATTAGGATTCTATATATGCCTAACATATAACCAGCAATAACCAGCAACGACCTCCAAGGATGTGCAAGATCCTTATTATAAATAAACTTACAACCAAGTCTCTTTTGTGTCTAATATCCCTTCACCATTTTTCAAACTGAAGGGGGCATGGATAGCATCAATTTATAAGGCTGGTCAATTCAGGTTTCGTGAGGGTATTTTCAAACCAAATTTATGGGAGCATTTGGGCATTTAGAGTATGACCATTTGTACGGCGTTCTTTTCTATGCATCTCTGATGACTTTGTGAACATACAGAGATCACTGTAGACTGAAAAATGTCCTACAAGGGACAGTAGGAGCTTCTATGCCACCACTTTCCTTTAGAGAGAAAAAGAGAATTGAAAGGACATGCTAGTGTTTTACTTCCAATTATGTGGTCAATTTTAGAATAAGTGCAATGTGGTGCTGAGAAGAATATATATTCTGTTGATTTGGGGTAGACAGTTCTGTAGATGTCTATTTGGTCCAGAGCTGAGTTCAAGTCCTGAATATCCTTGTTAATTTTCTGTCTTGTTGATCTGTTTAATATCCACAGTAGGGTGTTAAAGTCTCCCACTATTATTGTGTGGGTGTCTAAGTCTCTTTGTAGGTGTCTGAGAACTTGCTTTATGAATCTGGGTGCTCCTGTATTGGTGTATGTATATTTAGGATAGTTGGCTCTTCTTGTTGCATTGATCTTTTTACCATTATGTAATGCCCATCTTTGGTTCTTTTGACCTTTGTTGGTTTACAGTCTGTTTTATCAGAGACTAGGATTGCAATCCCTGCTTCTTTTTTGCTTTCCTTTTTTCTGGGTAGCTTCCTCCATCCCTTTATTTTGAGCCTATGTGTGTCTTTGCAAGTGAGATGGGTCTCCTGAATACAGCATACCACTGGGTCTTGACTCTATCCAATTTGTCAGTCTGTGTCTTTTAATTGAGGTATTTAGCTCATTTACATTTAAGGTTAATATTGTTATGTATGAATTTGATCAAGTCATTATGATGTTAGCTGGTTATTTTGCCTGCTAGTTGATGCAGTTTCTTCATAGTGTTGGTGGTCTTTACAATTTGGTATGTTTTTGCAGTGGCTGGTACTGGTTGTTCCTTTCCATGTTTAGTGCTTCCTTCTGAAACTCTTATAAGGCAGGCCTGGTGCTGACAAAATCTCTCAGCATTTGCTTCTCTGTAAAGGATTTTACTTCTCCTTGATGTATGAAGCTTAGTTTGGCTGCATATGAAATTCTGGGCTGAAAATTCTTTTCTTTAAGAATGTTGAATATTGGCCCTCACTCTCTTCTGGCTTGTAGAGTTTCTGCCAAGAGATCCACTGTTAGTCTGATGGGTTTCCCTTTGTAGGTAACCTGACGTTTCTCTCTGTCTGCCCTTAACATTTTTTCCTTCATTTCAACCTTGGTGAATCTGACAATTCTGTGTCTTGGGGTTGCTCTTCTCAAAGAGTATCTTTGTGGTGTTCTCTGTATTTCCTGAATTTGAATGTTGGCCTGTCTTGCTACGTTAGGGAAGTTCTCCTGGATAATATCCTGAAGAGTGTTTTCCAACTTGGTTCCATTCTTTGTGTCACTCTCAGGTAAACCAATCAAACGTAGATTTGGTCTTTTCACATAGTCCCATATTTCTTGGATGCTTTGTCCATTCCTTTTCATTCATTTTTCTCTAATCTTGTCTTCTGCCTTTATCTCATTAAGTTGATCTTCAATCTCTGATATCCTTTCTTCCACTTGATCGATTCAGCTACTGATACTTGTGTATGCTTCACGAAGTTCTCGTGCTGTGTTTTTCAGCTCCATCAGGTCATTTATGTTCTTCTCAAACTGATTATTCTAGTTAGCAATTCATCTAGCCTTTTTTCAAGGTTCTTAGCTTCCTTGCATTGTGTTGGAACATGATCCTTTATCTCAGAGGAGTTTGTTACTACCCACCTTCTGAAGCCTACTTCTCTCAATTCATCAAACTCATTCTCCATTGAGTTTTGTTCCCTTGCTGGTGAGGAGTTGTGATCCTTTGGAGGAGAACAGGCATTCTGGTTTTTGGAATTTTCAGCCTTTTTGTGCTAGTTTCTCCCCATCTTCGTGGATTTATTTACCTTTGGTCTTTGATGTTGGGACCTTCGGATGAGGTCTCTGAGTGGACATCCTTTTGTTGATGTTGATTCTATTTTTTTTGGTCTGTTAGTTTTCCTTCTAACAATCAGGCCTCTCTGCTGCAGGTCTGCTGGAGTTTGCTGGAGGACCCTCTTTGCCTGGGTATCACCAGCGGAGGCTGCAGAACAGCAAAGATTGCTGCCTGTTCCTTCCTCTGGAAGCTTTGTCACAGAAAGGCACCTGCCAGATGCCAGCCAGAGCTCTTTTGTATGAGGTATCTGTTGGCCCCTACTGGGAGGTGTCTCCCAATCAGGAGACATAGAGGTCAGGGACCCACTTGAGAAGGCAGTCTGATCCTTAGCAGAGCGTGAAGTTCAAGGCTGTGCTGGGAGGTCCGCTGCTCTCTTCAGAGCCATCAAGCAGGGATGTTTAAGTCTGCTGATGCTGCGCCCACAGCCACCCCTCCTTCCAGGTGCTCTATCTCAGGGAGACGGGGTTTTTTATCTATAAGCCCCTGGCTGGGGCTGCTGCTTTTTTTTTTTTTTTCCCAGAGATGCCCTGCCCAGAAAGGAGGCAGTCTGTCCACAGTGGCCTTACTGAGCTGTGATGGGCTCCACCCGGTTCAATCTTCAGAGCGGCTTTGTTTACACTGTGAGCGTAAAACCGCCTACTCAAGCCTCAGCAATGGCGGATGAACCTCCCGCGACCAAGCTTGAGCGTCCCAGGTAGAGCTCAGACTGCTGTGCTGGCAGCGAGAATTTCAAGCCAGTGGATCTTAGCTTGCTGGGCTCTGTGGGGGTGAGACCCACTGAGCCAGACCACTTGACACCCTGGCTTCAGCTCCCTTTCCAGGGGAGTGAAAAGTTCTGTCTCACTGGTGTTCCAGGTTCCACTGAGTTATGGGAAAAAAAAAAAAAATTCCTGCAGCGAGTTTGGTGTCTGCCCAAATGGCTGCCCAGTTTTGTGCTTGAAACCCAGGGCCTTGGTGGCATAGGAACTGGAGGGAATCTCCCAATCTGTGGGTTGTGAAGACCGTGGGAAAAGTGCAGTATCTGGGCCAGAGTGCACCATTTGTCACAGTGCAGTCCCTAATGGCTTCCTTTGGCTAGGAGAGGGAGTTCCCCAACACCTTGCACTTCCCGGGTGAGGCGACTCCCCACCCTGCTTTGGCTCGCCTTCTGTGGGCTGCACCCACTGTCCAACCAGTCCCTATGAGATGAACCGGGTACCTCTGTTTGAAATGCAGAAATCGCCCATCTTCTGCATAGATCTCACTGGGAGCTGCAGACTGGAGCTCTTCCTATTTGGCCATCTTGCCAGCCGGAGCTCGGATTTTTTATTTTTCTTCCTTTCCCTATATATTTTTTTTCTGTTTCTTTCCCCTTCCCTTTCCTCCTCTCCCTAGAGGATGTGACTGAGGATAATGCTGGGTAGGGTCTTTTGACTTTGCTTCCATAACCCTATGCACTTCTGTCCGCAGGTTTTATATTGGGCTGGGTACTTTGACCTACAAGCCAGTAGATGGGGGCTTATGGGTAATAGCAGGTTGCAGCCAATGGGGCTGGGTATATACTCGATCCTCCTTTACTGGAAAAACACTGGGTAGGGCTGGACCTGGCAAGTCCATCTACAGGTCCCCCAATGATAGGCACAAGCACCAGCTCTGAGGGAGAGTCCAGTGGGCAGCCACCAAGTGTCCAGAGGCGTGCCTCGGCATGGAGGTAGGAAACCTCCTTGGCCCCAAGTTCTCTGCATAGGAGTGTCAGAGGCAGCCTGATCTCTTAATCCAGGAGAGTGGCTGCTCCAGATGCCTGGAGATCTGCCTGGTTGTGGAGTGGAGAGGGTCTCCTTGCACCACTATCGCTGCGCAGGAAGGATGGGGTGGCTCAAGCTACTTACTGCTCCAGGCAAGCAGGTGTTCCAAATACCTGGAAATCTGTGGAGCAGAGAGGGTCCCACTGCACCGCAATCTCTGCACCAGAAGAATGGAGCAGCTCAGACTGCTGATTCACGCTAATGGGCACTCTGAATCCCTGGATATCTGCCTGGGCAAGAAGTGGAGATGGCCCCCTTGCACAAGGATCTCTGCACAGGAAGGAAGGGGCAACCCAGGCTGCTAGCCCATGAGAGCGGGTGCTTTAAATGCTTGGAGATCTGCTTATATGTAGAATGGAGAAGGCCCTGCTACACCACAGTCTCAGGAAAGTAGGCTGGGACACCCAGCAATAACACACACAGACCAGTTCTAGTTCATCAGGCTGGCCCTGGCTGAAAGTCTCACTGCCCAGGAGAAACCACAGCCATAGCAGCTCTCCTCTTGCCCAAGGCCTGTGACTGGGGAAAGCACAATTCCCGTGCCTACTGTTGAGGTATTTTCCATGGTTCTGGCTGTGGAGGACCCTACCCTGATCCAGAGCAGGTGCTCCATTCTCTACCCCAATACTAAAATGCCTGCATGGCCACACTGCTGGGTTGCCAAAGAATGGCTGACTTTAGATGCACCCAAATTAAAAATGGTATCCTGTTCTCTGTCCTGGGACTGGGAAAATGCCTGTAGCTTTATCCAGTGTCTGTCCCTATCAGCATCTCCAAGCCTCTCCTGAAGTTAGCTCCAGGATTTGGGAGAAACAAAGTGCTGTCTCTCAGCCTGGATTTCTCTGATCCTCAGTGGAAACGTGAGTCACAGAGGGAAGCTTCTACCTCTCATGTGCTGGGACTTCATTCACTTTTCTCAGCTGGACAGCATTATGGTGGCTGTTTGCCAGCATTCTCCTTCTCAGGATCTGGAGTGTTCTTCACAATTCCAGTGGATCTCCATTTTCCTTCTTGAATTAAAGCTCACAGTATTTATCTTTATGCACTGCCTTGCTATTTCCAAGTGGCTGTGGCATGCTAAAAGCTTCTAATTGTCATCTTGAAAAAAAAATCTATGAACAATGTTTGATATGAGTTGGCCAATACTCAACTGAAAATAAAAAAATTTATATGCAAGGATAGTCTCTGAGGTTGAGCATTTTTGTTCAGTGATGAAGCATTTGAATTATCAACATGGTTAATGCTATGGAAATCTATGGAACCAATTCGTTTAAGAAATGGATTCGTATCTTAATAAAGAACATCTTTTTTATTGTTTAATTGCTGAAACAAGATGTCAGCCTATTACCCTAATTAACCAGTTCAATCACAGCCATTCACATCATCTAGTACCAAGTGGTATTTTTCAGAGAAATGAACATGAGGAGGGAAACTCCTTGACTGGAAAAAAAATTGATACATATAATCATTACAGAGCTGTATATTTATATAAGACCAACTGTGAGATGAATGAAGAAATCTCTGAGATTCACTGTTGAGTAGCTTAAAATTTCCAAGTCCTCTGCTAGACTTGAAAACTATTTAGTGTTGAACAAAAATAAGATACTATATCTCACAATTCCTATATGAATGCTTCCATTCCTACTTTATTTCTGCTTTCATTTTCACGGCTCATCTACAGTCTCTCTTCCAGCCTCCCATTTGTATTTTACAACATGCATAATTACAGATTTATTCTTTAATTATCTCATTTTCATACGATTTTTATATCTCTTGAAAGATTTCTTGGAAACTTCTGTCTTTTTTATTTTCCAGAGAGGCAGAGTATTTTTAGGCAATAATATTTTACCTTATCATGCCTTTCAACTATTACAAGAAAAAGGGAAAGTAGTAAAATAAATAAACAAATACAGACAGTCACCAACTTACAATGGTTTCACTTAAGATTTTCAACTGTATGATGGTGGGAAAGTGATACGTATTGAGTAGGAACCATATTTCAAGTACTCATGCTACCATTATATTTTTCATTTTCAGTACAGTACTCAATAAATTACATGAAATATTCAACAGTTTACTATAATATAGGCTTTGTGTAAGATTATTTTGCCCAACTGTAGGCTAATGTTAGTGTTCTAAGCACGGTTAAGGTGGGCTAGGCTAAGCTATGAAGTTGGGTAGGTTAGGTTTATTAAACATATCTTCAAGCCAGGTATAGTGGTTTGTGCCTATAGTCTCAGCTGCTCAGGAAGCTGAGGCAGGAGGATTGTTTGAGCTCAAGGAGTTTGAGACTATAGTGCACTATGAGCACACGTGAGAATAGCCACTGCACTCCAGCCTGGGCAACATGGCAAGAGTCTACATTTTGTTTAAAAAAAACAGCATCTTCAACTTAGAATAGTATCAACTTATGATGGGTTTATTGAAACATGATCTTATCATAAGTTGAAGAGTATCTTTATATAGTAGAATATAATAACATACTACAGACTTATTTTCTCAAAGCATAAAGATAAACCACACTAATGATCATCCATGGGAGAGGGACACCTAGACAATGTCCTGCAAAATGAGAAATACTTGTAAGACATACTTTACATTCCAGACTGAGTCTCTTTCACCATGAAATAAAATCATTAAGAAATTTTTAGTAATATTTTAATTAAAATTTTAAGTATAGAAAGAAGGTTGTATAGCTTTACATTAAAAATAAATTAGTACGTGACTTGGCTACTTGACACCAAAGTAGCTGGTGCCAGATTCACGCTTCCATCATAATTTGATTATGAGCATCATAATTGGAAGTTGACTTGGGACGCTGGAGCTTGGTGTGGGGAGGGGCATCTGCCATTACTGAGGCTTGAATAGGTGGTAAACAAAGCTGCTGGGAAGTTCAAACAGGGTAGAGCCCACTGCAGCTAGCAGCTCAGCAAAGCCACTGTAGCCAGACTGCCTCCCTGGATTCCTCCTCCCCGGGCAGGGCATCTCTGAAACAAAGGCAGCAGCCCAGTCAGGGGATTATAAATAAAACTCCCACCTCCCTGGGACAGAGCAGCTGGGGGAAAGGGTGGCTGTGGGCACAGCTTCAGCAGACTTAAACGTCCCTGCCTGCCAGCTCTGAATAGAGTAGTGGATCTCCCAGCACAGTGCTTAAGCTCTGCTAAGGGACAGACTGTGTCCTCAAGTGGGTCCCTGAACCCAGTGCATCCTGACTAGGAGACACCTCCCATTAGGGGTTGACAGACACCTCCTACAGGAGAGCTCAGGCTGACATCTGATAGGTGCCCCTCTAGGATGAAGCTTCTAGAGGAAGGAACAGGCAGCAATCTTTGTTGTTCTTCAGCCCTCGCTGGTGATACCCAGACAAACAAGGTCTGGAGTGGACCTCCAGCAAACTCCAGCAGACCTGCAGCAGAGGGGCCTGACTGTTAGAAGAAAAACTAACAAACAGAAAGGAATAGCATCAATTTCAGCAAAAAGGACATCCACACTGAAACCCCATCTTCATGGGGTTTCATCTTCGATGTTGTAGGTCACCAACATCGAAGACCAAAGGTAGATAAATCCACAAAAATGAGGAAAAAGCAGTGCAAAATTGCCGAAAATGCCAAAAACCGGAAAGCCTCTTCTCCTCCAAAGGATCACAACTCCTCGCCAGCAAGGGAACAAAACTGCATGGAGAATGAGTGATGAATTGGCAGAAGTAGGCTTCAGAAGGTAGGTAAAACAAACCTCTCTGAGCTAAAGGTGCATGTTATAACCCAATGCAAGGAAGCTAAGAACCTTGAAAACACATTACAGGAATTGCCAACTAGAATAACCAGTTTAGAGAAGAACATAAATGACCTGATGGAGCTGAAAAACACAACACGATGACTTTGTGAAGCATACACAAGTATCAATAGCTGAATCAATCAAACGGAAGAAAGGATATCAGAGATTGAAGATCAACTTAATGAAATAAAGCATGAAGACAAGATTAGAGAAAAAAGAATGAAAAGGAATGAACAAAGCCTCCAAGAAATATGGGACTACATGAAAAGACCAAACCTACGTTTGATTGGTATACCTGAAAGTGACCAGGAGAATGGAACCAAGTTGGAAAACACACTTCAGGATATTATCCAGGAGAACTTCCCCAACCTAGCAAGACAGACCAACATTCAAATTCAGGAAATACAGAGAACACCACAAAGATACTCCTTGAGAAGAAAAACCCCAAGACAAATAATCATCAGATTCACCAAGGCTGAAATGAAGGAAAAACTGTTCAGGACAGCCAGAGAGAAAGGTCAGGTTATTCACAAAGGGAAACCCATCAGAGTAATAGCAGACTTGGCAGGACCCTACAAGCAAGAAGAGAGTGGGGACCAATATTCCACATTCTTTTCTTTTTTTTTTCTTTTTTATTTTCTAGACCACTGAGAAAATCTTTGTTTACACTAAATTTCAACAAAATTTACATAAATACATTCCAAATGTACAATTTTCACCTCTGATTTTTTCACGTCATTTAAAAGGTTAGTCTGTCCTGTTCCTGTTTTTCCTTTCAGACACCAGTGTGGCACTGACGTTGGCAGGTGGAGGGGAGCTCCCAGGGAGCTGGGGGGTGCCTGAGGGCTCAGGCTGCTTGGGGCAGACTTCTGTCTGGGCCGCCAGCTTTTCAGCTGCATCCCTGCCCTCACATTCTTAAAGAAAAGAATTTTCAACCCAAAATTTCATATCCAGCCAAACTAAACTTCATAAGTGAAAGAGAAGTAAAATCCTTCACAGACAAGCAAATGCTCAGTGATTTTGTCACCACCAGGCCGGTGTTACAAAAGCTCCTGAAGGAAGCACTAAATGTGGAAAGGAACAACTGGTACCAGCCACTGCAAAAATGTACCAAATTGTAAAGACCATCAACACTATGAAGAAACTGCATCAACTAATAGGCAAAGTAACCAACTAACATCATAATGACACGATCAAATTCACACATAACAATATTAACCTTAAATGTAAACAAGCTAAATGTCCCAATTAAAAGACAGACTGGCAAATTGGATAAAGAGTCCAGACCCATCGGTGTGCTGTATTCAGGAGACCCATCTCATGTGCAAAGACACACACAGGCTCAAAATGAAGGGATGGGAGAAGATTTACCAAGAAAATAGAAAGCAAAAAAAAAAAAAAAAAAAAAATCAGGGGTTGCAATTCTAGTCTCTGATAGAACAGACTGTAAACCAACAAAGATCAAAAAAGACAAATAAGGCATTACAAAATGGTAGAAGGATCAATGCAACAAGAAGAGCTATCTATGCTAGATATACATGCATCCAATACAGGAGCACCCAGATTCATAAAGCAAGTTCTTAGAGACCTACAAAGAGACTTAGACTCCCACACAATAATAGTGGGAGACTTTAACACCCTACTGTTGATGCTAAACAGATCAACAAGACAGAAAATTAACAATGATATTCTGGACTTGAACTCAGCTCTGGACCAAGTGGACCTAATAGACATCTACAGAACTCTGCATGCCAAATCAGCAGAATATACATTCTTCTCAGCACCACATCACACTTATTCTAAAATTGACCATATAATTGGAAGTAAAACACTCCTCAGCAAATACAAAAGAAGGGAAATCATAACAAACAGTCTCTCAGACCACAGTGCAATCAAATTAGAACTCAGGATTAAGAAACTGACTCAAAACTGCACAACTGTATGGAAACTGAACAACATCCTCCTGAATGACTACTGAGTAAATAATAAAATTAAAACAGAAATAAATAAGTTCTTTGAAACCAATGAGAACAAAGACACAACGTACCAGAATCTCTGGGACACAGCTAAAGCAGTGTTTCGAGGGAAATTTATAGCAATAAAAGCCCACAGGAGAAAGTGGGAAAGATCTAAAACTGACACCCTAACATCACAATTCAAAGAACTAGAGAAGCAGGAGCAAACAAATTCAAAAGCTAGCAGAAGACAAGAAATAACTAAGATCAGAGCAGAACTGAAGGAGATAGAGATACGAAAAACCCTTTTAAAAAAATGAATCCAGGAGCTGTTTTTTTGCTTGTTTGTTTTTTGAAAAGATGAACAAAATAGACTGCTAGCTGGACTAATAAAGAAGAAAAGAGAGAAGAATCAAATAGACACAATAAAAATGATAAAGGGGATATCACTACTGATGCCACACAAATGCAAACTACCATCAGAGAATAGTATAAACACCTCTACGCAAATAAACTAGAAAATCTAGAAGAAATGGATACATTATCGGACACATACACCCTGCCAAGACTAAACCAGGAAGAACTCGATTCCCTGGATAGACCAATAACAAGTTCTGAAATTGAGGCAGTAATTAATAGCCTAGCAACCAAAAAAAACCCAGGACCAGATGGATTCACAGCTGAATTCTACCAGAGGTACAAAGAGGAGCTGATACCATTCCTTCAGAAACTATTCCAATCAATAGAAAAAGAGGACTCCTCCCTAACTCATTTTATGAGGCCAGCATCATCCTGATACCAAAACCTGGCAGAGACACAACAAAAAAAGAAAATTTCAGGCCAATATCCCTGATGAACATCAATGCAAAAATCCTCAATAAAATACTGGCAAACAGAATCCAGCAGCACATCAAAAAGCTTATCCACCACCATCAAGTTGGCTTTATCCCTGGGATGCAAGGCAGGTTCAACATATGCAAATCAATAAACGTAATCCGTAACATAAGCACAGCCAATGACAAAACCCACACAGTTATCTCAATAGATGCAAAAAAGGCCTTTGACAAAATTCAACAGCCTTTCATGCTAAAAACTCTCAATAAACTAGGTATTGATGGAACACATCTTAAAATAATAAGAGCTATCTGTGACAAACCCACAGCCAGTAATGTCCTAGGCCTTCATATTCACTCACCACTCACTCACTAACTCGCCCAGGCAACTCCAGTCCTGCAAGCTCCATTTATTGTAAGTTCCCTATACAGGTGTACCATCTTAAAAATCTTTTATATTTTCTACTGTACATTTCATGTATTTAGATATACTTAGTTACATAAATACCACAGTTGGTGACTATTACAAATTGTTACCATAAACATAACACTTACTGTGTTACAATTGCCTATAGTATTCACTACACTAATGTGCTGCACAGGTTTGTCCCGTAGGAGCTATGAGCTCTTCCATATAGCCAAGGTGTATAGTGGCTACTATATATACCACCTAGGTTTCTGTAAGTACACTCTACGACATTTGCACAATGACAAATTCACTTGACAGCACATTTCTCAGAACATATCATTTAACGCATCGTTAAACAACACATGACTGTATAATGTTAGCTTTTTGTAGATGCTTTTTATCAAGTGGATAAAGTTTCCTCTATTCCTGCTTTATAGAGAGATTTTATCATGAATGGATATTGAAATGTGTTAAATTTGTTAAATGTTTATTATGCATCAACTGATGCAACGTAACTTTTCTTTTGTTTGTTAACATGGTGGATTATTTTGATTGACTTTTTGAGACTTAATCAGGCTTGTATTTCTGGAAACAACCCCCCTTGGACATGGGGTACATTTTTTTAATATACTGTAGAACTCTATTTGTTAATATTAAGTTATACATATCTTTACATATACACACACACACCCACTCTCTCTCCTGGTTTTGGTATCAGTGTAATAATAGCTTCAAAAAATAAATTGGGGAGTGTTCTCTCCTTTTCTGTTTTCTGGAAAAGATTGTGTAGAATTGGTGTTTTTTTTTTTAAACATGGTAGAATTCTCCAGTGAAACCATCTAAACCTAGAGATTCCTTTTCTGGTAGTTTTAAAATTATGAATTCAATTTTCTTAATGGTTATAGAGTTATTCAAATGATCTATTCATGCGTGGTGAGTTGAGTTTGCTTGTGTTGCAGGAGGAACACTGCATTTTGTCCATTTTGTCTAAGTTGTCTAATTTATGTGTGTGGAGTGGTTTGTAATATTCCTTGATTGTCCTTTGTTATATGTGGTGTCTGTAGTGATATCACCTGTTTCATTATGGTATTTAAAATTTATGCCTTTTCTTTTCCTTTTAATTTCTGTTTGAGTTTGCTAAATTTTATTAATCTTTTAACAGAACTATCCCTTTGTTTTATTGGTTTAACTATTTTTTCTCTTTTAAATATAAGTGTTTTCTTTTCTTATCTTCATTAATCTCCACCCTCTACTTGCTTTGAGTTTATTCTGCTCTTCTTTTTCTAGGTTCCTGAGGTGGAAATCTATTGCTCACTCGAGACTTTTCCTCTTTACTAATGCATGCATTTACTGCTATAAGTTTCCTTCTCAGTACATTGATATGTCACAGTTTCATGTTTATCCAGTTCAATGTATTTTTAAAATTTTTCCTTGAGACTTCTTCTTTGACCGATAGATTAGTTAGAAGTGTGTTTTTTTAATTTCCAAGTGTTTGGGAATTTTCATATCTTTCTTATGCTGATTTCCAATTGGATTCCCTACAATGGTTTCTGGTTTTCACCTGCTCTGGATGATTACCATCTCTTTTAAATTTGTTCTGGTGAGTTTTAGGGCCTAGGATAGCTCTATCTTGCCATGTGTTTCGTCAGCACTCAAAAAAAATGTGTATTCTGCTGTTGTTGTGTGGAATATTCTGTAAATGCCAAATAGATTCTTTTGGTTAATGGCATTTTGAGTTGTTTTATATTCTTGTTGATTTTCTTTTTTTTCCCCCCCTTTTAAAATATGAAACGCTTCACAAAATTTTGTGTAATCTATATGCAGGAGACGTGTTAATCTTGTCTGTGTCATTCTAATTTTAGAAAGTGCTGCCAAAGCCAACACTCCTTGCTGATTTTCTGTCTAGTTCTATCCATTATTGAAAAACGCAAGAGAAAATTTCCAACTATAATTGTGGATTCATCTATACCTACTTTCAGTTCTGGCAGTTTTCTTTTTAAAAAAAAAATCAACTAAAGTTTATTAAATTAAGCATAAAGTTACTTTCACATTTATCTACAACCACAGTGAATACAGTTCTTGGCATGAAGACACCACAACCTTTAGAATTTAAAGCCTCCCCACCTGCAAGATTACATATATAAAACTCCCATTATTGTTTCTATAACAGTGGATTAATTCACCAAATTAAAATAGTTATATGATCTAGAATAATAAAATGGAATGATTTACTCATAAGATTCCTATTTAAAACATCTTTATTTACAAAATACTATCCTGAGAATTATAATTCCATTAAACTTCAATTTGAGCAAAAGTGCAATCACTTAAGTAATAGCAGTTACTTAAACTGAAAATGAGATCAGTCAAAATTACTTTTGAAGAAAGCAACAATATTGTCAGGTTTCTTTTGTGGTCCTGGATGTTCAGTAGCATTAAAGGCGGAATCAATCCTGAAGGGAACTCGCTTCTACCTTCAGAATGCGGGGTTGGGGTAAAATCCAGGTCTCGGGTGAAAGTAAGGAGGTAAACCCCTCGGTGGGTAGATGTTTCTCATTGCAAATGGAGCATGTGGTGGACCTGGGAAATCCCTTGGTGGAAAATAACCTCGAGAAGCTCCAAACATGGTTCCTGGAGGAGGTGGGGGGAAAGGAGGTCCTCTTCTCATGAACGGGCCCCTTGTATCCACTGGAAACAATGGTCCTCTGACTGGAGCAAGAGGTGGAGGAATAAAGCCAGGGCCAGTTGCTTCATTTTCAGCAGGGAGAGATGAATCAGGCACATTTAAATTACCAAGATCATCTTTGGCATCATTTCTACTGGATTCCATTTCTGAAGGCATTGACCCATCCATTTTATCCAAAGAAGTCATTTTAAAACTTCTGGGTTCTGCTGATCCAGACAGTCTTTCAGAATTAGAATAAAATCTGTCTTCCCTTTGAGGAGGAAGAGCTGAATCAGGATATGATTGTCCTGGTGGAGGAAACATCATCTTACAGTCCTGTTCCACCGGAGATGACAGGGACCCAGTGTCAGAAGGAGCCCTGTGAGGATCGGTTAACCTGTCACAGCTTGGTTCTCCTCTTTCATTGGTAATCTGATGGTCCAGGGGATTCCCTGGGCCTCTTGGGCCTCTTCCTCCTCCCTCCGGAAGCACAGGTGAGAGTCCCAGTGGATCCTCCAACAAAGTTTGAGGAGAGAGAAAAGCTCTCGTTTCAGATGAACGCTGACCCAATGGTGCGGGACCATTCGGGGCATGCTCTCTGCCAAATGCTGTATTTGAAACATCAAGTGCATTAGGATCTTTTTCTAAAAGTTCAAATTTCAACTCTGTTTCAGTTAATTTTTGTTTGTTGTGAGCATTTTCTTTCCTTAAATCACTGAGGTTTCTTTCAGCAGTCCGAGCTGCCAACCAATTATCATGTCCTCTTTTCTCGTAGGAAATAACCTGCTTTTGATAAAAATGAACAGTTCTCTCCAATTCTTCTTCAAGATCTTTGGCTAGCTTTCTATAGGTCTCCAGCTGTTCAGTGGCACGGCTGAGCTTTTCTTCCACTCTAGAAAGCTTCTCTTCTTCCTCTATTCGGTAATTTTCCTCCACTGTTAATTTCCTGTAGAGTTTCATTTCATTTTCTTGATAGAATTCAGTCATTATTTTAAGTTTCTGTTGAAGCTTCTGATTCTCACTTTCAAAATATATGTTTTCTGATTGCAAAGATGCTTGTTGAGTCTGAAGATTTTTAATATGCTCTGTAAGCTCTTCCTTTGTTTTGTCCACTTCAGATAACTGAATAATAATGTGGTTTCTTTCTCCTTCTAAGCTTTTTAAAGAAACATTTAACTTAGCAGCATGAATCAGTTTCTTCAAAGCTCCTTTCAGAGGATCATCTAAGTTAGCACCATTTTCCCATTGACTGTTCACTTCTAATTCCAGGTTATCATCATCCGTTGTGTCTTCTTCAAGCACAGCAGCCTGATCTTTCATCATTGGCAAGTGTCCAGTCAGGGTCTTGATGTGATTTTCTTTATCATTCAGAACTTGTTCTGCGTGTACTTTGGAGTCTTCAAATGTTATTTTCTGTTTATTAAGTTCACTCACTTGTCCTTTCCATACTTCAGCTTCTTGCTGAAAAAGCTGTTTATGGCTTGTCTGAAGTTGAGAATTTTCATTCAAAGCATCTTTTATTGCTATAGCCCGTCGTTCTTCACTCATTTTAAATGTCTTGCAGATGATTTTGGCTTCAGCTATTTGTGATTTGAGGGATTTTGACTCATCTTCTAGAGACTGTATACTTTTTGAAATATCCGCCATCAATTCATCTTGTTGAGAATGTTTAGATTTCTCTTCTTTTAAGTCTTTTTCTAGACAGAGGATTTCATCCTCAAGTTCAGAATTGGACCTGTTCAGCTTTTCACAGGTTGCCTCCAAACTTCGTGCTTCTTCTGCTGCCGCCTTCTCAAAGCTGGCATCCTCTAAAGATGACTCTACTTCATAGCCTTCATACTCTTTTTGAATAAGGCTAAACTTTTCAAGTAGTTTACATTTTTCTTCAATTAGTCCAGAAAGCGTTGCACCAAGTTTTTGCTCTCTTCCCACGTAAAGCCGACTCCTAACCGATCTAAAACTTCTCCACAAAAAAAGGAGAACAACAAAAAATCCAATAACAGCTGCACATACCACCAGTTCCGATGGAAAACCATAAGGATTCTCATCTGGTCTCATACTCTCAGGTAGTGCTGCCACAACTCTGCGTAGCTCCTCCAGGACCAGCCCCAGGTAGGGCTGAGGGGTAGCACCGGGCTCCTCCATAGCGTCGAGGCTGCTCTGGCGGTCACCGCAGTAACACTGGCCACAACAAGCGGTGGAGAACACGCAGCCTTGGGTCTGGAACCCGAATGCGCACGTGACAACCAACCGGAGCGGACCACTGTGGAGCGGGCTGCGGGGGGAGCTGGGGAACGCGGGCACCCACAGGCCTCACAGGCCCATGTTGTCCCCCACCACCTCCCCTGGCCCTCTTGTTACACTTCACATCCTGAGGCAGCGCTGGTCTGAGCCCGGCCCGCCTTAGTTCTGGCAGTTTTCACATCACATATTTTGAAGCTTTATTTTTTGGTGAATACACTTTTAAAATTGCTGTCTTCTTCATGAATTAAACCTTTGATCATTATATAATCTCTCTGTTTCTGGTAATTTTCTTTGCTTTATCTGATATACATACAGGCACTCTTGCTTTCCTTTCATTAATGTTTGTGTAATATATCTTTTTTCATCCTGTTAATTTGGTCTGCCCTGTATTGGTAAATTTCAAGTGAGTTTCTTGTACACAGCATGCAAGAAACATATAAGAAAGGGTCATACTTTTACATACACTCTTCTATTATCTGTCTCTTGGTAGACCATTCATAATTAAATGAATTATTGATACTTTAGTGCATAAGCCTGACAGTTTTTGTTTTCTCTATCAACTCTTGTGTCTCTGCTTGTTTTTCATGACTTTCTGTGGGTTATTTGAACATTTATTTTAGAATTCCATTTTGTTATTCATAGTGTTTATGATGTATCTTCTTTTTTATAGTTTTCTGGTTGCTTTTTATAGCTTAGTGGTTGTTCTAGATATTCCTTTATACATACATTATCACAGTCAATTGGTGTCATCTGTATTCCAGTTTGAGTGTAGTATAGCAACCCTATGTCATTTTATGTCTCTTTACCCTCTCAAATTTATAGTATCATTGTCTTACATCCATTTAGATTAACACCAGACAATGCTATGATTTTTGCTTGAAACATCAAACATAATTTAGGAAATCGAAATCTATGCCAATAAATAAAGTGAGCATTTTAGAGCTGCCAGAAGGAAATAGGACACGACCTGCTTTGTCTTTCATTTTTTCTTTCTTTCCTTTATATTGATCATAGATATTATGATGCCCTATCTATTAACTCCAATATCTGGATTATCTGTGAATTTGTTTTTAATAATTGATTTATTTTTTATGAGTCTGTATTTCTTGCTTTTTTGTGTATGTGGTAACTTTTTAAAAGTATGCTGAGTTTCTGGATAATATGATATAGAAATGCCCAAAAATTTTGAATTTTTTTCTGGACAGATGTTATATTACCTGCAGATCACCTTGCTGCTCTCAAGACCTAGTTTTAAGCTGTGCTATGGTAATGATATTTTATTTTCCTCTTAGGACATATGCCTTACTCCTAGGATACTGTACCTCTCCTTAGACAGAATCTTTAGGGTCCCAACTGGGTTTCTCAGTTGTTTACCAACATTTCCCCATCTGGCTGGATCTGAAACCCAGTAGGTTTCCAGGAAATTTTCAGTCCCTGATGATCTCTTCTGCTTTCCCAGCAGTTGCTTTCTACTAGGTCTCTCCTCTTCTTAGCCAACTGTCACACAGCTAAAGAGTCACGGAAGGACCAAAATGGCATTTACACACCCATTTCCAGGGTTCTTTCTCTCTCCCATATGGTACATTAACCCCCAATTCCCAACCAGCTTATTAGCTTTGAACTCTATTTTTTGCTTCTTTTGGTTACCAAGACCACTAACCTCTGGTTGGGTCACATTTTCCTGTACCAAGGTCAGGAAGATGCCTTTCTGGAAAACCCTGGCAAATGTGGTACTAACCTCATGTGTCTCACCTTCCTTAAAGATCTCATACCTGACTTGGTACAACAATGTTCTTCAATGCCTGCTGATATGGTTTGGCTGTGTCCTTACTCAGATCCCATCTTGAATTGTAGCTCCCATAATTCCCACGTGTAGCCTTGCCCACCTGAACCATGCTGAGGACCTGGTGAGAGGTAATTGAGTCATGGGGGGTGGGTCTTTCCCATGCTGTTCTTGTGATAGTGAATAAGTCTCACGAGATCTGATGGTTTTACAAAGGGGAGCTCCCCAGCACATGCCCTCTCTCTTGTCTGCCATGTAAGATGTGCCTTTGCTTTTCCTTTGCCTTCTATCATGATTGTGAGTTCTCCCCAGCCATGTGGAACTGTGAGTCCACTAAACCTCTTTCTTTTATAAATTCCCTAGTCTTGGGTATGTCTTTATTAGCAGCATGAGAACAGACTAATACAACTGCCAAGAATTTTTTTTCTATATTTTGTCCAGATTGTATAGTTTTTTATCGTGGGAGGGTGAATGTGACACCAGCTACTTTGGTGTCAAGTAGCCAAGTCATGTACTAATGTGTTTTTAATGTAGAGCTATACAGTCTTCTTTCTATACTTAAATTTTTAATTAAAATATGATAATTAAAATATTACTAAAAATTTCTTAATGATTTTATTTCATGAGGGAAGAGACTTGGTCAGGAATGTGAAGTATGGCTTACAAGTATTTTCTTGCTAGCTGTGAAATAGATTGGAGGAAGTATTATCCGGTCCCCCATTTGGCAGATGCAGAACCTTGAGGTTAAAAGACATAAACAGTTTGAAGTTCACCTTATAATTGATTAGAAAGGGCAGACCTGAAACTCAGGTTCAGCATTAGACCTCCATGTCTTTGGCACAAAAACATACCATCTCTTGACTTTTGCCCTGTCTTCATAATTCCAAAGAGCCTGAGATTACTTTCAGACTATACCATTTTCCTTATTAGTAAGTAATCTGTCTGAAGGTCTGCATGAGACAGTCATAGTGTCAGCCAGAAGTCTGACATTCAAGCTCATTTCAAAGCCCCTGGAAATAGACTCTCTTCACTGCCTTCTGTGTGGACGTCCATTGCTCTGCAGTCTGAGACTTGAGTCCACACCAGGCAAACACCTCCCTAACTCCTCAGCCTCCATTCTTATCCCCACGGTCAAAGTTCAAGTCCTCAGCACCTCTCACCTGGACTGTTCCAGAAGCCTCCTCACTAGTTTCCCTACCTCTAGCCACAATCCCAACTGAGCTGTCTCCCAGAATACTGCCAAATTAACCATAAATTTCAGCTTAAAACCTTTCAGTAAATTCCTGTTGCCTTCAGGTAGAATCCTTCAGTAAATTCCTGTTGCCAACCTTCTCATCATCTGGGTCTGCCTTCACCTCCTGCCTCAAGTTCCAGGTTCCCATCTTTGCACCCCTTCTCCCGCAATTCCAAACTGATGATCGTTTTCAGAACATTTCACCACAGTTCATATTTCTGTGCATTTACAAATACTACTCTTTCTTCCTGAAATGGTTTTGCCCTCTTTCTATAACAGGGTTTCCTGAAATGGTTTTGCCTTCTTTCTATAACAGGGTTTCCTGAAATGGTTTTGCCTTCTTTCTATAACAGGAAAACTCCTGTTTATCTTTTAAAATCAGCACCTTGTCCCACCTCCCCACTCCGCCCACAAAAACAAAGAAAAGAAAGGAAGAAGGAAATACCTGATACTGGTAATTTACAATGAAAAGAAGTTGAATTGGCTTATGGTTCTGCAAACTGTACAGGGAGCATCTCCTCAGCCTCTGATGAGGCCTCAGGAAGGTTTTACTCATGGCAGAAGTCAAAGTGGGAGCAGACAGACATCTCACAAGGCAGAGCAAAAGCAAGAAAGAGAGAGTCAGGGGGAAGTGCTACACACATTTATAAATGACCAGATCTCTGAGAACTCACTTACTATGGTGAGGATAGCACCAAGCCATGAGCAATCCACCTCCATGACCCAAACACCTACCATTAGGCCCTACTTCCAACATTGGGGATTATAATTTAACATTAGATTTGGTGGGGACGTATCCAAACTATATCACTCTGCTTCAAGTCGGAGTGTCTTCCTGGAAATTAAAACTTTAATGTAGGCCGGGCATGGTGACTCACACCTGTAATCCCAGCACTTTGGGAGGGCAAGGCAGACAGATTACCTGAGGTCTGGAGTTCGAGATCAGCCTTACCAAATTGGAGAAACCCCGTCTCTACTAAAAATTCAAAATTAGCCAGATGTGGTGGCAGGTACCTGTAATCCCAGCTACTCAGGAGGCTGAGACAGGAGAATCGCTTCAACCCAGGAGGCAGAGGCTGCAGTGAGCCAGGATCGCACCATTGCACTCCAGCCTGGGCAACAAGAGTGAAACTCTGTCAAAGAAAAAAAAAGCTTTAATGTAATAGGCAGACTTCATGAAGATACATTTCATGAAGGTATTGAGTTGGGGGAGTGTACTGATTTATATATTTACCTTCAAAGCATTCTTTTGAATTATTCTGTCAGCATAGAAGACTACGTACATCCACCTCACCTCTACAGATGGGAGCAGCCACACAGCCAACTGAACACCCCATGTTTTCTCTTTGAGAAACAAACTACTTCCTGAGAGTAAGAAGTCTTCTATCCTAGAAAATTTGGTGTTAGTATCAGAAAGATAGACCAAGGCAAGAATATGCAATAAATATTGGCTTGTGCCCCACAAATGGCTGCTTTTTGGTCAGGAACGTGTGCCAGGATATTCTGTGCTGAAGGATCAGTGTCACTGCAAGTCCATGATGAATGCGCATTACTAAGCCACATACTCATAATTAATCTTCAGCGACACGTGAAGAAAACTAAATTTCAAAATGAAAAACGAATAAGTGGTAGAGCAAGAATGTGAAACAGATCATTGAATTCCAGAACCAGTGTCCTTAACTGAGAGAACACAGCATCATAGCTATTCTTTTCCTAATTGCAAGAGCCCAAGATATGCTTAAAGTGAAAAAATATATATATAAATTCACTTTCCTTTAGTGGCCTTTTTTGCTTTTTCATCTGTTCTATGAATCTTTATTCTGAGAGCTGCCTTTACTTTCTCTCTGATTGAAATGGGGCTGACAACCAAGGGACCCCACCATTCTCATCATCAGAGTAGGTGTGACTACAGATGGCCAGTCTTAGCATTCCATGCCCTGGACCTCAAGACTTGACTATGAATGTTCAAACGACCTAAGTATAGCCAGTCAGTGTCCAGATGAGTGATAAAGGCATTAATGGAGAAATAATTTCTTTCTTTCTGAGATAATGATTTCTACAAACCATTTAAGCCTGGAATTGCCTTGTAATATTATCTTCACACAAAGAGAGCTTGATGGACAATAAGCACCATCACCACCCACCCCCACCCCTACCATACACACACACATAAATGACAAATCAAAGGCAAAGAGCGATACCCCTAGGGATATTGTTAAAGAATCTAGATATAGTACTGATTAAAGCTCCAGGTCAACATCTAGACATTTTTGTTTCCTTAATCAATAAACTGCTTTTTTTTTTTTTTTTTTTTTTTTTGCTTCTACTTGTTTCAGTTTAGTTTCTATTACCTGCTCACAAAAAATGTATCTAAAAGCATATGTACAATTTAAATAATAATTATAAAGGGAACAATCAGATCAGCAACAGATTAAGAAATAGAATGTTGCCAATAATTGAAGTCCTCCATATGTTCCTCCAAGTTCATTGTCCCTCTCCTACCACCAGATGGAACACTAATCTGACTTCTGTGATCATTCCTTTTGCTCCTTTAGTTTTACTACCTATGTGCACAAACTTAAACTACATAGTTTAGTTTTAACTTGTTTTAAACTGTATAAGAATACAAGAAAGTTATATTTTATGTAATCTTTTATGGCTTGCTTCTTTAGTGCAATACTGTGACATCGTCTGTGTTGATTTGTGTAGCTCTACTTCATTTTTCTTTCTGCCTAATACTCAATTATATAACTATAATACAATCAGTTAATCTATTTTGCTGCTGATTGGTTTTTGATTGTTTTTATTTGGGGCCTATCTGATACTACAAACATCCTTTACATGTATATCTGGGCGAGAGTTTCTCTGGCATACCCTAGGAAAGGAATTGCTGTATCGTAGAATATGCATAGCTTCAACCTTCTTAGATAAAACCAAGCTGTAGATAAAGACAAGTCAAAATCATATCACTTAGAGTATATGAGTTTCCATTGCTCTAGATCCTTAGGAACACTTGATATTATGAGATACATTTTTTTCCAAAGTGATGAGTGCATAGTAATATATTATTGTGGTTTTCATTTGCATTTTCCTCATTACTAATGATGTTAAGCAGCTTTGCATATATTAACTAAACATTTGATTTTTGCTTTTATTTTGAAGTGCTCATTCCATTTTCTTGTGTATTTTTCTATCGGATTTTCTGTATGTCACAATGTTTTAGATATATGAACTTGGTCAGTTACATGTGTGGCCAACAGCTTTTCCCACTCTGGGCCAATTTTCACTCTTCTTGTGGTGTATTTTAATAAACACAACTTCTTAATTTTAAAGTAGTCAAAGTTATTAATCTTTTTTATGATTAATACTATTTGTACCATGAGTAAAAAAAATTGTTTACCCAAATTCCACAAAGAGATTTTTCTATATTATCTTCAAAGAGTTGTATAAATTTTTAAGTTTAAATGAGTTTTGGGCATAGTGAACTAGGAATACAACTGTAGTTTTTTTAAAATATGGATTCCTAATTATAGCACTGTTCATTGAAAGGTTCACTCTTTCTGCCTCATCTACGGGGCCAAAAGTCTGGATCTGTGTGGATCTCTTTGCAGGCTCTCTATTCTTTTCTATTTTTTTTCTTCATCTCTATGCCAATGCTATACTATTGTAATATCTTCATAATAAATCTTGCTAATTATTCTACCTTAGTTTTTGTCAAGAACACACAATTATTCTTGGTTGTTTGTGCTTCCATTTAAATTTTTAAACCAGCTTGTTGCATTCCACTAAAACAAGTGAGTAAACAACTACAATAATGAAAAACCCTGTTGAGATTTTGATTCTAAGTAATTTTTTAAGAATATACATCAATTAGTGGAGACTTGAATTTTTTTTTTTTTTTTTTTGAGGTGGAGTCTCGCTCTGTCGCCCAGGCTGGAGTGCAGTGGCACGATCTTGGCTCACTGCAACCTCCACCTCCTGGGTTCAAGTGATTCTCCTGCCTCAGCCTCCCGAGTAGCTGGGACTACAGGTACCCACCACCATGCCCAGCTAATTTTTGTATTTTTAGTATAGACAAGGTTTCACCATATTGGCCAGGCTGGTCTTCAACTCCTGACCTTGTGATCCACCCACCTCGGCCTCCCAAAGTGTTGGGATTACAGGCATGAGCCACTGTGCACGGCCGAGAATTGATTTTTTAAAAATTAGTTTTCCAGAGGGGAGGAGGCAAAGCAAGATAGCGGAATAGAAGGCTCCACTGATAGTCTGCCCTGCCACCACAAGGACACCAGGTTAACAACTATCTACACAGAAAAAATACCTTCATACGAACCAAAAATCCGGTGAGCCCTCATAGTACCTGGTTTTAACTTCATATGGCTGAAACAAGCACTGAAGAGATAGAAAAAAAACAGTCCTAAATCAAGTATGCCACCCCTCCTGCACCCTTCAGCAATCATGGCGTGGTGCAGAGAGCGTCTCTAGGTGCTGGGGAAGGAAGAATACAGCAATTGTGAGGCATTGAACTCAGTGCTGTCTTGTTAGAGCAGAAAGGAAAACCAGACCAAACTCCTACAGAGGCCTATGATATTTACTGAAATCAAAGAAATCCTTTTATTATTCTAGAAAGAAGTTGCAATATGACTTTAATATCTCCCCAATTTTTTTCTGTCTTGTAACCAGCTATAAAACTTTGGGTGATATTGGTCATCAGATTGAATAAGAGGAAACTTTGCAATGGTCCCCTTTTCCCCATTTATACATGCAAGAATCAGAACTTATGGGAATATTTTTAGCAATATTTTTGTGGGGGACGATGATGAAAACTTTCAGAGGAAATAATTAGCTTTTAATTAAATTTCTTGGCCCTTGACATTGTACGGTCCTTGTCTTCATCTCTTACCATGCCTGTTTCTTCTCTCTCCTCACTTGAACTCAGCCAACATTAATTTTGGAGACACTTTTCTCTGAATTATCACCTCACCTTGTCCTGCTTTGTCACTACACTCTGGATCAAGGGCATTCCTCTAAATTGGAAGATCCCCAAGTGTCTTTATATAACTCGAGTCTTTTCCTGACTCTCCTCAAGATGGCACCCAAAGCACAGGCTCCAGCCTCTTCAACTTCGCCGTCCATTACTAGAAAGACAGATCTTTTCTAAAACTCTAACACAGCTTTAAAAAAACAGAAGGCAGGCTCCCCGTAAAAGATCTAGAGAGATGGTATCACATGGTAAAAGAAAACCAAGAACTCGCCCAGAACAAAGTGCTGCAAAGAACAAGAATGACCACAAGAGGTCTTGCAAGTCCAGAGGGAGCAGATGGGGGAAACAGATAAGTCTCAGGAATGCAAGGATAATGTATTCCTAATACATCTATTCGTTCTCTGAATTCACAGATTACAAGAAAAAAAAATTTATGCTCATGCCAAAAAATAAATTGAAAAAATCCAAGTCCCGATGATGGTTAAACATTAGCAGCATAGTAAAATAGAAATAAACTTCCTATAAGAAGTAGTATATCTACCAGAAACCTTCGGCAAGCATTATACTCAGCTGTAAAAAGTCAGATGCATTCACATTAAATTCACAAACAAAAGAATGTTCACTCTCAGTGTTACCTTCAACATACTCATAGAGGTCCTTATCAGTGCATTAAGACAAGAAAAATAAACTGGACAGAAATAAATAAAAGTCATAATATTTGGAAAATATGATCCTTTATAATTTGAGGGTGGATCTAATAGACTTAGTTGATGAATTGGATGTGATAGGGACAGGTAAACAAAGATCAAGGATGATACCTAGGCTTTTGGCTTGAGCCATCAGTGTTTTTCAGAACTTTAACTGAGATAATGGAAAATGAGGGTACGGGATGAAGAGAAAATAGCTAGACAGTTTGAGATATGAGTCTAGACTTTAGAGGTTTGGGGTACAGAATGAAGAGAAGATATTAGATAGGCAGTTTAATAGATGAATCTAGACTTCAGAGCAGAGGTCAGGTCTGCAAATATAAATTTAGAAGTCATCAGAAAATAGATGGTATTCAAAGCTTTAGGCCAAATTGAAATCTCAGAAAAAGAACATTGAGAATGCTGCAAACCAACAGTTTGAGGCAAAAAAAAAAAAAAAAAAAAAAAAAAGAGAGAGAGAGAGATTTGGAAGACTAGCTCCATGAGATAAGAGGAAAGCTCAAGCTTATTATAGCATCACATAGCTGTGGGAGAGAAGTTTTTTTGGGGGGAGGGAGTGGGAAGGAGTGAGATCGAGATGTCAACATTCATATGTTATTGAATGCTGATAGAAAAATCATATAAATAAAGATGAAAAAGTAACCTTGAAATCTATCCACATGGGACTACTGGTAACCTTGACAAGGTAACGTGGCAGATGAGTTGGAAAGCGACTTAGGGTGGGTTGAGGAGATCAGGGAAGTGAGGAACTTGAGAAATCTCATGTTCAAAATGCTTTTGATCATTGTTCTTGATAAGGAAGCAGAGAAATCAAGGGATAACTAGAGGGATAAAGGACCCAGAGAAGAGCTTATTTTTTAAGGTGATGAGATACTAGAGAGTATTTTTACATTGATGTAAATAATGCAGTATGGGGAGAGAGATTATGACTTATGTGTTGGAAAGGGGGGGAAGTAAACTAAATTTAATATTACATAAAATTATAAAGTAGTTTACAAGAGAAACCATTTGGATAGAATGTGATCCATAAGTCAGCCTGACAAACTAATTTTCTATCAACTCATTTGGATTTGAAGTTTGTTCTATGCTTGACTTTTAAGAAACTTATGTGTAAAAAAATGCATATTTTTCTTTTAAAGAAATTTGGTTAGCTCAGAGTATTTTGGTGTTTTTGTTTTGTTTTGAGACAGGGTCTTACTCTGTCACCAAGGCTGGAGTGCAGTGATGTGACCACAGATCACTGCAGTCTTGACTTCCCAGGCTTCAGTGACCCTCCTACCTCAGCCTCCTGAGTAGCTGGGATCACAGGCATGTGCCACCACGCCTGGCTAATTTTCCTGTTTTGGGTAGAGACAGGGTTTCACATGTTGCCCAGGCTGGTCTCAAACTCCTGAACTCAAGCAATGAACCTGCCTTGGCCTCCCAAAGTGCTGGGATTACAGGCATGAATCACCACACCCAGCCCGAGATTGTTTTTAAATGGCAAAATATCTGGGATTTTCCCCCAGTAATGGCACCTTACTTCCGAATATATCTTTGGTATCTGGGATGTACCTATATTAACAAAAGGCTTATTATTAATAATTCATAGTTCAAAACTTTCTATGGATGAAAAAGTGCAGATTTGACTAGAATAATACAGACTGCCTATCTGCTCTCAACTCACTTGATTTAGTTTAATTTTAACCAGAAAAGGGGGCATTTTTAGTTTTCTTTTTCTTTTTTGGCTGCTCAAGCATTTGGATCCTAATTCTGTCTGGGGGCCTCCTAAAACAGTCAGATTCTTAATGGAAGATAGGCCCTTCCTATTTTTAGCCAGTGCACTAGCTAAAAATGCCAAATACATATATTCCTTCCCCTCAACCCGTGTAGCTAGACTGTAGTCAGTTCAAGTCCACGAGGCCATTGAATCTTCTGCAGATGACACTAGGAAGGTGTGAGTGTATGGAATTAACTCTGTTAGTGGCATTCAGTGGCCAGTGGCCATAGCAATAGCATTATAACCAATTCTGGTGGCGTAATTTTGACTGTATTTCTGAACATCCAGATCCTAGTTCCTGGTGGTCAGGTTTGTTTCTCCACATACTCTACCAATTATGAGAGCAATCCAAATCACATCTAATAAATTCCTACCTTGCAGAGTTAACCGAGGCTTTCCTTTTGGTTGATTGCTAACAAGATCCCTGAGTGATACACCAGATAAAACACACCTGCGGTATCCTCAGGATAACCTGAGAGCCTTTTTCTCCAAGAATGCCACCCAATTCTTGAAATTTCTGGAAGCCCAAATAGTACCTACATTTTCCCGTTTGTATTGGGTCCTACTTGGCTCACAACGGTCTAAATTATTTTTCAAAGTTCAGTATCCATTTATTGTGAAGATAAAGGTGCCTGTGTTGTGATCCCTGCATGCGATGAAAAAGTGCCATGTGGAACTGTTAGTTTGAAAAAATTCACCAAGAGGAGGCAGAAACTCATGAAATATTAGTTGTTGAAATCAAGAGTGAGAATCAGTTTTAGATTCTCATGTTTTTGGAACATTTCAAAAGACTTAATCTGGTAAAAAAAGAAATTTATATATTCTGGGATAATGATAAATATATCACTTTGCTACAATTCATCTCGGATTTTTGTCTCCTTTCTTACTGTTTTAGCTTTCCGATTTTGCTTTTGTCTTCATGCTGCACCTCATCTTCCTTCTAAGCTTTCAGACTAAACATTCCATTCCTTTACCTGTAGAAAAAAAAATGTGGTTGTGGATGTGTTCCTTTTATAGTAAGTGCTGAAAAACTATAAACTTTAAGCCAAAAGGACAATACTTCTTTCAAAACCCTTCCTTTAACAAATCACTTTGCAGAGCATTAAAAAGACCATAAAGAGACAGTACGTTTTCCCCAGCCATTGAAGGTATGATGAATGGTACAACCTGAGAGTGAATGGAAGAGCCACTTTATAAAGTTTAAAGAACCAATACTTGGGCTTAGTTATGGGCTTCACACTAACCAGAGATACAAGGCATTTTAGCCGAATGACAGTGGACCGAACTAATCCTATAAAGTGACAAGGGGAAACACTGGGACCCTCCACTGTGACATATCTTGGAGTGAAGGCTTGGCAGGAAGTCAGTCTTGCATAAACATAAAAGCCAAACTCTTTTAGAAAACATATTATCAGAGATGATTTATTTTTATATGAGAATAGTTCTTTTAAAAAATATTTTAGATCTTTTTCTTGAATATAAATATTGATTTACTAATATGACCTGTCTTTTTTCATTCTCTAGACAACAATGATTTCTTAAGAAGAGGCAAATGGAACTCAGAATAAGCAATCATAGAATACAAGCATAGAATAATTTCAATAATTTTTGCATTTGAACACAAAAAATGAGCTACTAAAAGCATAGCCCCCTTCAAGTTGTAATTCAAACACATAACATAATTTGACTTCAATAGGCAAAGCAAATGACACTTACTTGGAAATTTCTAAGGTACTTACAGAAAGTCAAGGAGAGGACTTAAAGTGAAGAAAAAATATGTCTGACTAATAGTGAATAAAATTATTATTGATGCAAAAAGCATTGTTGAATGAAATCTTTTCAGCATCTTAAATATATAATGGTCTAAAGCTTGATCACCTCAAGTTCTTTTTAGAAGCAGGCAGAGGAAAAGAGAGAAAGAATGAATATAAGAACATTTACATCCAGAGTATACAACTCCAGAAGATAGAATTTATTCCTGTTTCATCTTTGTGTGCACTTTTCCCCATGGTTAACCAGTGCATTGCACTAGAAGGCTCAGTGTTTGTTGAATAAATAATCCCAGAAATAACTAGAAAATAGTGCAGAACAGTGAAGAGAGAGCTTAAGTAGAGATCAGGAAAGATACAGCATCTTCTTCCTTTCTTTACTATGTTGAGATACTCTCTGAGCATTGTTTTCCTTATTTGAAAAATGAAGAGTCAAAATGCCTTAAGTACCTTTCAGTTCAGAAATTCTTTGCTTTGAGAGTAAATATACTTAAGATTGAGTGCTAGAATTCAGAATTTTGCAGTGCAAGTTAAAAAATAATTCTATCTTTGGGGAGAAAAAAAATGGGGTTATATTTTATTTATTTTTTATACTCTGTCAGTAGACTAAAGGGGGTCTTTAATTAGTAAAATTGTACATTTCAATATGTTCATGCTTGCACACAGAAAGGTGCTGAGTACCTGCCATGGCTGTACTGCAATGTCTATTGTAAATGTTAGCTCTTTGGGGGGCAAGCATACCCACATTCATATGGCATTTCCTAAGCCTGTTTTCCTTCTCAGGGTTAAACTCACTGATGCAAACTGCCCAGCTGTGTTTTAATTAAACTTCTACTCCCACTTTCCTTTGGGCTTTTCAATCATATACGCTTCTCTTTCCCCTCTTTTCCCCATAGTCTTCTCTCTCTTTTCCCTAAACTCCCGCCACATAGGCCTGTGGTGAGGAGAGCTGACAATAATGAGGCCCCAGGAACTGGTACAAAGCCTGCTGTAAAACTTTTTAAATTAAACCCTTGAGATTTTAAGAGTTTGTAATTAGAATGCATGGTTTGAAATGAATTAACATAACCCTGCCATCTAGCTGGCATAACCCAGTGCCCATGAGTCTACTGATCTCTGGGTGCTTAAGCCCTGGCAGAGCAGACTGTTTCTAACCATTGACCATCCTGTCCCAAAAGTGGGCAATGTCTTCTTTGAACCTTTTGGGAAGTGTCCCAAATTCTCCTCCTATTGAACTGTTAGAATGTGCTTAATTTTCCACTGTAAGAATAGGTTGCTTTGATGAGTATCTATTGGGATAAGTTTTTGCCTTTGTGAAATTTCTTCAAAATAGATTCCCAGAAGTAGGATTAGAGTGGGAAGGGTAGAAATATATTAAGGGCTCATCATAGATGCCAAATCCCTTTCTTTTCACTCATCCATACAAACAAATACTTATTGAGCACCTGCTGTGTACCAGGTACTCTTCTAGGTGCTGAAATTTGGTTGTGAACGAGATAGGTGAAGTTTCTGATATCGTGGAATACTACTTTACTGGTTAAGGAAGACAATCAATAAGTGGGCAAAAAATACATAATATAATTATAAATGGTAACAAAAGCTATAAAAACATATAAAATGGAACGATAGAGAATAGGGGTTGGCTTCTGTCCTTTTGCAGTCCATACAATTTATCAGGAAAATTGGTCAGCTTTTCCTTCTAAGTACGTAGAGAACTTAATATCTTCTCTACCTCTGTATTGTTATCTCCCTAATCCAGGTCACCATCATCCTTTGCTTGGACTTTTGCAAGAGTTTCTTAATTGATCTTCCTGCTACCATATTACCCCCCATAGTCTGTTCTCCCCACAGCAGTCAGAATGATTCTTTTAAAGTGTAAGTCAAGTCATATAACTCAGCTGCAGAACACTTCCAATAGCTCCCTTCTCTCTCAGTGTAAAATCTGTCATTTCCATGGCTTGTAGAAGAATCTGCGGCCTGGACACTGCTGCTTCTCTAAACTCATCTCTACCATTCCCCTCCCCAGCTGCAATCCTTTCAAATTTCAAGCATGACACTTCCTCAGTGACTTTGCACTTGCTGTACCCTCTGTTTGGAATATGGTTTCCCCATATATATCTCACTCCTTCAGTTCTTTGCTCAAATATTACCTTTTCATAGAAATAGTCATTAACCATCCCAAATAAAATAGTGTGGCATTCCCATGTCTCTCTTTATCCTACTTTCTTTCTCTTCATGGCACTTATCGTCACTTGACATATTTATTTGTATATTTTGTTTATTGACTGTTTTTACCCACTAAAATAGAAACTTCATAGATCAAATACTTTATCTGTGCTGTTCACTGCTATATCCCCAGTATCTAAATTGATACCTGGCACATAGGTAATGGCTCAATATTTGTTAAATTAATGAAGAAATTAATGACTTTGTTTGAACCTGGTGAGAGATTTCTTGGAATATGCTGTGAGTCTAGACCATGTGTCCTATCCAAGTTGTTTTTAATTTTTATCAATGTCATGGATCAAGAAATAGTAGAGGCCCAACAAACTATATGCTGTCTTGGAGTCCAGCAGTGCTGGAGCTGGGGCTCAAGAGAAGTGCAGGCTGTGTCCCCAAGATCTAGGCGTGAGTGACCCTGGGCTATCACACCTGGGGCTAAGGTGCAGTGCTGCTGGGACTGAGGTGCAAGTGGTGCACACATTCCCCATCCATTGGCCTATGCTGTTGCCAATGAAGGCAGAACTACCCTCCCCAGTGGCAGGATAACAGCACAGTTGTTTCTTCCCCCAATGCAAGCATTCCACCAGTGGCCTGCGGATCACCCAACCCCTTTGTACCTTGGGTGGCTCCTCCACACGCCACTGGAGGCCTGAGGACAAGCTCATCTGACCCAGATTTACCCCCTCTCCATAAAAGAGCACATAGTCTAGGGGCCAGGGGATTTCCCAACTTGGTTCACCACCATCGGAACCTAAACACTCCTCCCAGGGGCCTACTCACCAAAATGAGAATACCACAACTGGCACTTATCTGCATGTGCCACCTGCAAGCCTAAAGACTGGCCCATGCAGCCCATTGCAGCCACCACCAACACCAGCACATACTTCTCAAGACCCAGAGGATTGTTCTGCCACTGACTCTACCTTTGCCCATGCCATACTGGTTGCCTAGAGGTCCAAGAACCTGCCACCCACCTTGCCCAAAGTTGCCACTACCAGCATATGAGTAAGCTTCCAGAAGGCCCAAGGGTTAGCCTGACTGTACCCACTAATACTAGTGCCAGTTTACACTGCCCCCCGGTGCCCAAGAACAGGCATGCTCAGCCCAACACTGGTACCAATGGTGCTGGAAAACTGGCCTACTTGGCTTCCCAGTCCCCAGCAGAACTTCACCACAGTTTCCAGCTGTACCCTAAGCCACCAAGGAGATCACAGATACCACTGATGCTGTTGAAAGCTACACTACTGCATGCACCCAGAATCAAACCCAAAACATTCTACCCAACAAACACCATAGATACATCTTCAAGAAAGTTTTCCTTTATAAAAGCAAATTCAACAAGTTGGAAGAAACTAATATTATTTCAGATATGTCAATATCAATGTAAGAACACAAGAAACATGAAAAATCAAGGAAATATACACCTCCAAAGGAACAGAATAACTCTCCAGCGATAGATTACAATAAAAAACAAATGAATGAAATCATGGGAAAAGAATTCAAAATTTGAATATTAAAGAAGCTCAGTGGAATACAAGAAATTTCTGAAAAATTACAAAGAAATCAGAAAAACAATTCAGGATATGAATGAGTAATTTGCCAAAGATAGAGATAATAAAAAAATAGCCAACCAGAAATTCATAAACTGAAGAATTCATTTAATGAAATACAAAATATATTCAAAAGCTTCAACAAAAATAGACTAGATCAAGCAGAAGAAAGAATCTCAGAACTTGAAAGCAAGTCTATTGAAATAACACAGCCCAACAAAAATACAGAAAAAAGAATAGGCAAATTCTTCATAGTATATGAAACACCATAAAGTGGCCAAATTTTGAATTACTGGGGTCTCAGAAGGCAGAGAGAGAACAAAAGGATTAGAAAACTTATTCAACATAACAATACATAACAACTTCCCAAATCTAGCAAGAGATTAAGGCATCTAGATACAACAGGCTCTGAGATCCCCAAACAGATACAATGCAAAAAAGTTTTCATGAAACATTACAGTCAAAATGTCTACAGTAAAATACACAGAAAGAATTCTAAAAACAGCAAGAAAAAACATATAGTCACCTTTAAAGGAACCCCCATCAGACTAACAGTGAATTTCTCAGTAGAAGCCTTTCTGCCAGGAAAGAATGAGATGATATATTCAAAGGGCTAAGAAAAAAATATATATATTGCCAACAAAGGATCTATTTCCAGCAAATTATCCTTCATAAATGAAGGAGAAATAAAAAAGTCTTTCCCAAAGAAGCAAAAGCTGAGAAAATTCATCACCACTTAACTGGTCCTCCAAGAAATGCTCAAGGCAGTCCTAAACCTGGAAGAAAAAGACAGCATTTACCATCACAACAACACAACGAAGTATAAAACTCACTGGTAAAACAAACACACAAATGAGGAAGAGAAAGAACTCACACAGTACCACCATACAAAACTACCAAACCACAATGACAAACAATAAAAGAAAAAGAAAGGAATGAAGAATATACAAAACAACCAGAAAACAATGAACAATATGACAGAAACAAAACTTCACATCTGGCCAGGTGTGGTGGCTCATGCCTGTAATCCCAGCACTTTGGGAGGCTGAGGCGGGCAGATCACCTGAAGTCAGGAGTTTGAGACCAGTCTGGCCAACATGGTGAAACCCTATCTCTACTAAAAAAAAATACAAAAATTAGCCAGGCGTGGTGGCACGTGCCTGTAATCCCAGCTACTTGGGTGGCTGAGGCAGGAGAATCACTTGAACCTGGGAGGCGAAGGTTGCAGTGAGCCGATATCATGCTACTTCACTCCAGCCTGGGCAACAGAGTGAGACTCTTGTCAAAAAAAAAAAAAAAAAAAAAAAAAAACAACTTCGCATATCAATAATAACCTTAAATGTAAATTGATTAAATTCTCCACTTAAAAGATACAGACTGGCTTAATTGATTAAAAGAAGTATATATGATCCAACTATGTGCTGCCTACAAGAAACACATTTTACTTGTAAAGACACACACAGACTGAAAGAAAAAGGATTGAAAAAGATATACCATGCAAACCTAAACCAAATGTGAGCAGAAGTTGATTTACTTATATCAGATAAAAGAGACTTTAAGTCAAAAATAGTAAGAAAAGGCAAAGAAGGTCATTATATAATGATAAACAGATCGATTCGGCAAGAAGATATAATAATTTTAAATATACATGCACCTAGCATTGCAGTACCCAGATTCATAAAGCAAATATTACTAGATCTAAAGTGTTGTGGGAAGTCAGGGACCCCGACTGGAGGGACTGGCTGAAGCCATGGCAGAAGAACATAAATTGTGAAGACTTCATGGACATTTATTAGTTCCCCAAGTTAATACTTTTATAATTTCTTAAGCCTGTCTTTACTACAATCTCTGAACATAAATTGTGAAGATTTCATGGACATTTATCACTTCCCCAATCAAAACTCTTGTGATTTCCTATGCCTGTCTTGTCTTTAATCTCTTAATCCCATCATCTTTGTAAGCTGGGGATGTATGTCGCCTCAGGACCTGTGATGATTGCTTTAACTGCACAAATTGTTTGTAGAGCATGTGTGTTTGAACAATATGCAATCTGGGCACCTTAAGAACAGGATAACAGTGATTTTCAGGGAAATAGGGAGATAACCTTAAAGTCTGGCTGCCTGTGGGCCGGGCAGGACAGAGCCATATTTCTCTCCTTACCAAAAACGGGTAAGAGAAATATCGCTGAATTCTTTCCCTAGTAAGGAATATTAATAATTAACAGCCCTGGGAAAAGAATGCATTTCCAGGGGGGCCTCTAAAATGGCCGTTCTGGGGGTGTCTGCCTTATGCAGATGTAGATAGGGATGAAACACGCCCTAGTCTCCTGCAACGCCCCCAGGCTTGCTAGGATTAGGAAATTCCAGTCTGGCAAATTCTAGTTAGACAAGTTCTCTGCTCTTGAACCCTGTTAAGATGTTTATCAGTGACAGTGGGTGCACAGCAGGACATGGAAGTTCATTAGTGATTCTAGTTTTGCCCTGAACTTGTGATCTTGCCCTGCTCATCTGCCTTGTGATCTTTTGTTGCCCTTAAAGCATGTGATCTCTGTGACCCACACCCTATTTGTACACTCCCTCCCCTTTGAAAATTGCTAATAAAAACTTGCTGGTTTTACCGCTCAGGGGGCATCACGGAACCTGCCGACATGTGATGTCTCCCTCTGACACCCAGCTTTAAAATTTCTCTCTTTTGTACTCTTTCCCTTTATTTCTCAGACCAGCCGACACTTAGGGAAAATAGAAAAGAACCTATGATGAATTATCAGGGGTTGGTTCCCCCAATACTAAAGAGAGAGATAAATTCCAGTACAACAACAGTGAGGGACTTCAACACCCCACTCTAAGCATTAGACAGGTCATCTAGATGTAAAATCAACTAAAAAATATTGAATTTAACTGGACTATAGAACAAATGGACCTAACAGACACACCTACAGAACATATTATTCAACAACTGCAGAATACGCATTTTTTTCTACTCAGCATGTGGAACATTTTTCAGGATAGATCATATTTTCAGCCACAAAAGAAGAAGTCTCAACAAATTCTTAAAACTTGACATTATATTAAGTATTTTCCCATACAACAGTGGAATAAAACCAAAAATTAATACAAAGAACAACTTTGGAAGCTATACAAATACCTAAAAATAAAACAACATGGTCCTGACTGAAGAAATAAAAATGGAAATAAAAACATTTATTGAAACAAATAAAAATGGAAACACATGATGCCAAAATCTGTGGAATACAACTAAAGCAGTACTAAGAGGGAAATTTATACCAATAAACATCTGCATCAAAAGAAGTAGAAAGTTTTCAATTAAACAATGTAATGATGCACCTCAAAGAATTATTATAGAAAAGGAAGAACAAACCAAACCCAAAATTAGCAGAAGAAAAGAAGCAATAAAGATAGGATGAGAACTAAATAAAATAGAGACTAAAAGACAAGGATCATTAAAACAAAAAGTTCTTCAGAAAGATAAACACAACTGACAAACCTGTAGCTAGACTAACCAAGAAAATAAGAGAGAAGGACTAAATAACAAAATTAGAAATAAAAAAGGAGACATTACAGCTGATACCAAAGAAACATAAAAGATCATCAGAGATTATTATGAGTAACTATACACTAATAAACTGGAAAGCCTAGATAAAATAGATACATTCCTGGAAACATACAAACTACCAAGATTGAATCAGGAAAAGATAGAAAACTTGAACAAACCAATAATGAGTAGTGACATTAAATCAGCAATAAAAAGACTCCCAACAAAGAAAAGCACAGGACAAGATGGACTCACTTTCAAATTCTATAAAGAACTAATATCAATCCTCCTCAGACTATTCCAAAAAATCAAACAACGTGGAATTCTCCCTAACTTACTCTAGGAGGTGAGCATTGCCCTGATACCAAAACCAGACAAGTACACACACACAAAAAGAAAACTACAGACCAATACCCCTGATGAACATAGACACATAAATTCTCCACAAAATACTAGTAAAATGAATTTAACAGCATGTCAAAAAGATAGTACCCCATGAGCAAGTGGGTTTCATCCCAGGGATACAAGGACGGTTTAACATATGCAAATGAATAAATGTGACACATCACATGAACAGAATGAAGGGCAAAAACTATATGATCATTTCAATAGATGCAGAAAAGGCATTTGATAAAATTCAACATCATTTCATTATAAAAACTCTCAACAAACTAGGTATAGAGGGAACATACCTCAAAATAATAAAGGCCATATATATGACAAACCCACAGCCAACATCATACTGAATGGCAAAAAGTTGAAAACCTTTTCTCTAAGAACTAGAACAAGACAAGGATGCTCACTTTCACTACTCCTATTCAACATAATGCTAAAAATACTATTTCCCCTAGACAGAGAAATCAGACAAGAGTAAAAAATAAAAGGCATTCAAATTGGAAAAGAGGGAGTCAAATTGTCTCTCTTTGCACATGAAATAATCTTATATTTAGAAAAAAAAGATTCCACCTAAAAATGATAAGCAAATTCAATAAAGTTGAAAAATATAAAATCAACATATAAAAATCAGTAGCATTTCTATAACCAATAATAAAACAGCCAAAAGAGAAATCAAGAAGACAATCCCATTTACAATTGCTACCAAAAAAAAAAAATACCTAGGAATAAATTTAACCAAGCAGGTAAAAGATCTCTACAAGAAAAACTGTAAAACACTGTTAAAATGAATTAAAGAAGACATAAACAAATAGACATCCCATGCTCATGGATCAGAAGAATCAATATTGTCAAAATGACCAATGAAATATCCAGATTCAATAAAATCCTTATTAAAATACCAATGTCATTTTTTACAGAAATAGAAAACAAAATTCTAAAATTCATATGGAATAAAAAAAGAGCCAGTATAACCAAAACAATCCTGAGCAAAAAGTACAAAGCAGAAGGCATCACACTACTTGACTTCAAAATATAGTACAAGGTTATAGTAACCAAAAAGCATGGTATTGACATAGAAATAGACACAGAAACTAATGGAAGAGAATAGAAAACCCAAAAATAACTCTACATATTTACAGCCAACAGACTTTCAACAAAGTTGCCCAGAACATACACTGAGGAAAGGATACCTTCTTTAATAAATAGTGCTGAAAAAAATGGGATATTCACATGCAGAAGAATGAAACTGGACCCTTATCTTCCACCTTATATAAAAATCAATTCAAAATGGATCAAAAACTTAAAAGTAAGACCTTAAACTATAAAACCACTAGAAGAAAACAAAGGGAAAATACTCCAGGATATTTGTTTAGGCAAAGATTTTATGGCTGAGACCTCAAAAGCAGAGAAAACTAACACAAAAATAGACAAATAGCACTATAGTAAACTAAAAAAGTTTTTGCACAGTGAAAGAAACAATTAACAAAGTGAAGAGACAAACTGTTGAATGGGAGGAAGTAGTTGCAAACTATTCATCCAACCAGGGACTAATATCCAGAATATGCAAGGAATACAAACAACTCAACAATAAAAAAAAACAAATAATTCAATTAAAAAGTGGGCAAATGACATGAATAGACAATTTTCAAAGGAAGACACACAAAAGCCAACAAGCATATTAAAAAATGCTCAACATCTCTAATCATCAGAGAAATGCAAATCAAAACCATGATGAGATATTATCTCATCCTAATGAGAATGGTTATTCCTAAAAAGACAAAAAATAAATAAATAAAAACAGATGCTGGCAAGGATGTATAGAAAAGGGAATACTTAACAATCGCAAAGGTATGGACTCAATCTAATTGTTCATCAGTGGGTGAATGGATAAAGAAAATGTGGTATATATACACAATGAAATACTATTTGTTCATAAGAAAGAATGAAATCATGTCATCTGCAGCAACATGGATGGAAATAAAGGTCATTATGTCAGGTGAAATAATCCAGGCACAGAAAGACAAATACCACATGTTCTTACTCATATGTAGGAACTAAAAACCTTGATCTCCTGGAGGTAGACAATAGACGGGTAGATATGACACCAGAGTTTGGGAGGGTGTGAGAGTGGGTGGAGGGAGAAAGGAAAAGAGGTTCATGAAGAAGCACAAACTTACAGTTAGATAGAGGAAATAAGTTCTAATTTTCAATAGCAGACTAGGATGACTATAGTTAACAACAACATATTGTATATTTCAAAGTAGCTAGAAGAAAGAACTTGAAATGTTACCAACATGCAGAAATGACAAATACTCAGTATGATGGATACCCCAAATACCCTGACTTGATGTTACATGTTCGATGCACATTAAAAATGCTCACATGTACCCCCATAAATGTGCAAAACACTATGTACCAATAAAAGGAAAAAAGAAATAGTAGAGGGTCTCACAAGCATTGTATACATGATTTGTTAGCAGAATCATGTTCAGCAATGCTTTTCAAACCGCAGGTCACTAACAATCAGTAGTCTGTGAAGGTAGTTTAGCAGGTTGTGATCAGCTTCTTGTTAACAAAAGAGAATTCATCCAGGCTGGAACAAAATAGAATTGAATTGAAAAAAATACTTTCTCACATGTAATATGGCTGAGTGTTGTTTTGTGAAAGTTCGTTTTAATTATATGTAAATGGGCTTTTTGAGCACATAATGAAATATGATATAAAAAGTATTTGTTATTATAGGTCACAGTGTTTTAAAAAAAACCAATGGCCTACAATATTGATTCTCAGGAATCCACCCAAAATTTCCAGGAAATAAAAATACCAGAAGAAAACAATGAACTGGAAAAACAATGAAAGAGAAGCAAAGAGAGAACCAATGACCAAAGAGTTGTTCCTTTGAAAAAAGTCCATAAATTAATAGTGACTAGCCATATCGGCCAAGATAAAAAGAGAGAAGACACAAATTATCAATTTTAGGAATGAAGGTTAGAAAATTATTTCAGATCCTTCCTAGTCATTTATAAACATAAAAATAAATCATACATGTGTCATACATGGCACAGCAGCAATACTCACTGAAGAAGAAATAGGTATCTTGAATAAGCTACTATACATTAAAGAAATTGAATTTGTGGCTTACAATTCTCAAAGAAAAATCTTCAAGTCCAGCTGGCTGTACTAACACGTTTTTCCTAACATTTCAGAAAAATGTAATATAATTATACACAATTTTTTCCATAAGATAAAAGGGGAGGGAATGACACCCAGCTCATTTTATAAACTCAGCATTACCTGATATTAAAAACAAAGACATTATAAGAAAACTACAGACGAAATATCCCTCACAGCATAGATATGAAAATATTCAATCGAATGCTAGCACTTACAATCCAACAATATGTAAAAAAAAGATAATATATCATTACCAAGTGAGGTTTATTTCATCGTGAAAAGATAGTTAAGCATTCAAAAGTTAATTAAATTAGTTCACCACATCAGTAGACAAAAGAAGAAAAACATTGCTCATCTCAAAAGATGCAGAAAATCACTGGACAAAATTTGAAATCCAACCATAACAAAAATTCTCATCAATTAATAATAGAAAGGAACTTCCTCAAACTGAGGGAGAGTATCTACAAAATGGGCTGCTAACATCAGAGTTAATGCTAAAAGACCAAATGTTTTGCCCCTAAGATCAGGAATAAGGACGAGAAGTCCATTCTTACCACTCTTTTTAGACACACTGAAAATTCTAAGTGCAATAAGAGAAGAAATTCAAAAAAAAAAAAAAAAGACCTACAGATTAGAAGAAGTAAAAATGTTTCTCTTTGCAGATGACATGATTGTATGTTTAGAAAATTGTAAGAATCTACAAGAAAGGTATTAGAACTAATTAGTAAATTTAGCAAGGTCAATAGTTAGAAGGCCAATGTATATTTAATACACAAAATCACATTTCTGTCTACATTCTATATACTACCAGTAGAAACTGAAAATTTTCAAGCAGTGCTATTATAATAATAAGAAAAATAAGAAACACTTTGGTATAAATTTAACAAAATATGTTTATACAAGTGTACAATCTGCATATTGAAAACTCCAAAACGCCAGTGAAAGAAATCAAAGGCCTAAACAAATACAAGATGTTCGTTATTCAAGATTTGCAAGTCTCAACATTGTTATATTAATTTATTAACGTTAATCATAAATTAACCTTCCATAGATTCCATGCAATCTTACAAAAAATCCCAGCAATATTCTTTTTGGAGAAATTGACAAGTTAATTCTAAAATTTTTATGGAAAAAAATCAAAGGAATTACAAGAGCTGATATAATTTTGAAAAGAACAAAGCCCAAGGACTTAATTATTTCATTTCAAGACACATTAATCAAGATGTATAGATCAAGATTAAAGTATAAAGCTACATTAATCAAAACAATGTCATATTGGTGAAAGGACAGACACATAAATCACTGTAACCAAACAAAGTCCAGATAAAGACTCACATATAAATTATCAATTAATATTTGATAAAGGTACAAAGAAAACTCAGTGCAGAAAAGAGAATTTTTTTAACAGATGGTCTGAAAAAATTGAACATCCATTTGCAAAATTTTTTAAATCTTGACCCATACTTCACACCATATGTAAAAATTAAATAAAAATGAATCATAAACTGAAGTGTAAGAAAAAATAAAAATTCAGAAGAAATCATAAGACCACAAATTGATACCTTGGATTAAACAAAGACTTATTAGATATGAAATCTAATCTCAATCATGAAGATAAAATTGATAGTGATTCATCAAAGTTAAGAACTTCTGCTCTTGTAAGACACTGTTCAGAACCTTAGAAGACAAGCTGTACACCAGGAGAAAATATTTGCAAAAGGCATTTCTGATGAAGAACCGGTATCCGAGATTTCTGCCTCTCTTCCCAGTGGGGTCACAACCTTCAGCCCACTCAGGATACTGGCAACAGCTGAGGTACTAAGTATTGGTAAAAAACTGAATGAGGGTAAAACAAAGTCCATAAATTATTAGATAGTCCAGAAAAAATCCTCCTGCAGTTCAAGGACCAGATAACAGCAGGAAATGCAGTTAGAAAGAATCACCTGGGCCAGGTGCGGTGGCTCAGGCCTGTAATCCCAGCACTTTGGGAGGCCGAGGCGGGCGGATCATGCGGTCAGGAGAGACCACCCTGGCTAACACAGTGAAACCCCGTCTCTACTAAAAATACAAAAAATTAGCTGGGCATGGTGGCGGGCGCCTGTAGTCCCAGCTACTTGGGAGGCTGAGCCAGGAGAATGGCGTTAACCCGGGAGGCGGGGCTTGCAGTGAGCCAAGATCGTGCTACTTCACTCGTGCCACTGCACTCCAGCCTGGGCGACCGAGCGAGACCTGCCTCAAAAAAAAAAAAAAAAAAAGAAAGAATCACCCGGAAGTAAAAGGTAAAAGCTGCAATCTCAAATAAAATTACCAGTTGTGTTTTTCAGTTGTTACAGGAAGCAAGTGTCAAAACTGCTTTCACCAGAAAATGTGGGGAAACAGACAGCTTTTGCTGCTCCCGAGTGTGAAATGATTCCAACTGAATGGGTTTGCAGAAGAATAGCAACTGATTCTTTTTTCAAAAGAAATCCTGATGACAAGGAAGGATATAAGTTTTACCCACCTAAAGTGGAGATGTTTTTCAAGGATGATGCCAGTAATGACCCAGAGTCATCTGAGGAACAGCTAATTGCTCCAAAATTTTGCTTTGGTGAACTTCTCATAGGCCAAACTGAAGTGGATATCATGTCATATACTACATAGGCTCTTTTTTGAAATACTGGAGAAATCTTGGTTGCCCCAGAACTGTATGCTGGTTGATATGAAGATCAAATTTGGTGTTGATGTAACCCCTAAAGAAATTGTTCTTGCTGATGTTATTGATAATGATTCCTGGAGACTCTGGCCATCAGTAGATGGAAGCCAACAGAAAGACAAACAGCCTCATCAGGACCTCAAAGAAGTAACTCCTGAAGGGCTCAAGATGGTTATAGAAAAACTTAGAGTGGGTTGCAGAGAGAGAAGAGTTGCTTTTGAAATTAGAAAGTCCGTGCGGGATGGCAGTATTGGTAGGCTCTACTTCTGATCTTGGCCACTGTGAAAAAATCAAGAAGGCCTGTGGAAATCTTGGCATTTCCTGAGAACTTCAAGTAACATCTGTGCATAAAGGACCAGATAAAACTCTGCGGATTAAAGGTGAGTGTGAAGGGGATGGCATTCCCACTGTGTTTGTGGCAGTGGCAGGCAGAAGAAATGGTTTGGGACCAGTGACGTCTGGGAACACTGCATATCCAGTTATCAGCTGTCCTCCGCTCAAGCAGACTGGGGAGCTCAGGATGTGTGGTCTTCTCCTCGACTACCCAGTGGTCTCAGCTGCTCAACCACCCTTTCTCCAGAAGGATCAGCTCAGTTTGCTGCACAGATATTTGGGTTAAACAATCATTTGCTGTGGGGCAGACTGTGAGCAAGCGTTTTGAACACATGGATTTTCTTGAAGCAGGTTGACAAGGAAATCAGAGAACGTAATTTATAAGAAAGATTGTCATTGCTTTTTTTAGGGGGGAACTACAAATGTTTAGCTGCAGGAAAATCAAGCAAGATGAAAAGATGATGCTAAATTAGAGAACACAAATACAATGTATTAGTGAATAAATGCTTTTCCAGATCCATAGGTATGTAGAATATCTGTTCATATTTATTAATATCTCCTTATGAGCAGAGAAGTTACTATAAGGACATTTTCAAATTACTCTCCTGTCCACTGTATGGTCATTGTTAGGTGATAATATAATTAAAGAAATATCTTTTATAAATGCTAATAATGTTCTATTATAAAGCTCTAGAGTTATTACCTGACCTTCTGTATGTCAATCCATAAGTTTTAGAAAGTAAAACTGGCTATATTTTAGGTGATAAGAGCAATATAATTCTCATTCACTCTGTGGTCTTCACAAAATTCTAAGGGTATAGTTCTAAATTTTCAATTAGTATTTCAGAAAGTGATTTCTATTTACATGTATATCTATAGATACGTTTTGATTTTCTTTTAAGGAAAAGTTGAGATTGGGTAGAAAACAAGGTAGAGGAACACTGTTGGACCCACGGAAAGGGGACTTTTCTGAGACTTTCTCTGTTGGTTTTTAGAGCAATTTTCCATGGAAACAGTAGAGTTACCTTTGCCATGCCAAATGAAGATTTAGCGAATCTTACTTGGCTATGTAACAACAACAACAACAACAACACTCAATCATAAAATGAACAATTTGATTTTTAAGATGTTCAAAATATTTTATTAGACATTCTACCAAAGAAGATATGCAGATGGCAAATAAACACAGGCAGAAATACTCAATATCATTTGTGGGAAAAGCTGTCTTCTTTATATTTTCCCATATTTAATTTTTTTCTACTATTAGTAATATTGTATATTACTTCTATCAGAAAAAAATAATTTTAGAATTAGTATGTTCAATTTTATAATCATGCTTGTATTTTTTTAAATCATGAAGAGCAAACATTGCTGAGAAAATGACACCTATTCTTATGGATGATGGTTTTTTTTTCATTTTTTCACATTTTCAACTTTCATTTAGTGAACATATGTCACTTTTTATCCTAAAAAATTTTTTAAAATCAATTTTACAAGCATGGGATAGGAAAACTCTGTCTTGTTAATAAATGAAGTGAAAAATCTCTGTACCTTTAGTTGTTCATAAGTTGAAAATGAGTAACGTGATATATCTTTAAACACAAACTTCCATGTTAGCTACATTAGTAATGCTTCTTTCCCAGGAACTAATAATCCCCAAGCATATTCCCTTTTCATATCATCTCTGAAATAATCCATGCTATTCTGGGCACCATTTCAACAAGCATGTTGACCAGTTCAAGCTCACCCAGAGGAAAAGACCCAAGGCGAATATTCAGGAAAGAATGTGATATCAGAAACTCTAAGGCATCAAAGTCTGAGGAAAAATATGAAGATATTCTCTAAATACTTTCGAGGCTGGCATTTAAAAGAAAGAGAATGTCTTCTCTGAATTATCAGAAAACGGACTTCTATCAATTGTTAAGAATATCGTTGCCAAATATACATTCAAGAACCAGGAGAATGACAACCATATGGGTTCAGGGAACTGTTTGACCTATTTTGAGGCAAACTGGACAGGATCCAATTTGTTTCTTGAGTCTCAGGAGCCCTTTCTCTGATAGGGGGAAGCAGTGGTAATTGGTCATCCTCGGGAAATAGTATTTCCTCAGAGGCAGCATCCAGTAGTTCCTGAAAGTCTGGGGCATTTTTTCACAGCTATTTAAACCAAGTAAGTAGTACTAGAACCCTTTGGCGAAGGCTTGGAAGAAGGTTCATGTACCTCATTTGTGGTTATTATAGCAGTATTTATCCCTGAAGTAACCTAGTCTCCTTCATTGGAGGGATCTGGGTCTAATGGAACCATTTCTGGGAATTAGGTAAAGGACCATAATTCTGTCGTTGTGGCTCAACAGACCTCTGTTCATTGGGACTCGTATGTGTTCTAAAAATATAGCAAGGCTGTAATGGTATGCCTATTTTTTTTTTTTTTTTTGAGATGGAGTTTCACTCTATCACCCAGGCTGGAGTGCAGTGGCACAATCTCAGCTCACTGCAACCTCTGCCTCCCAGGTTCAAGCGATTCTCCTGCCTCAGCCTACTGAGTAGTTGGGACTACAGGCATGTGCCACCATGCCCAGCTAATTTTTGTATTTTTAGTAGAGATGGGGTTTCACCATGTTTGCCTGGCTGGTCTTGAACTCCTGATCTCAGGTGATTTGCCCACCCTGGCCTCCCAAAGTGCTGGTATTACAGGCATGAGCCACCGCACCCAGCCTATTTCATTTTTTTAAGACCCAGAATTGTGGTGTGTTTTTGGCACATGGAGTTAAATGGAATCAAATACATAGAAAACACATAATATTTCTGAGAGAATTATATTGGCAAAAGTGTCAGCAGCCTGGTCTTAAAAAAGCTGAGGCTGCACATGTATACATATGTAACAAACCTGCACGTTGTGCACATGTACCCTAAAACTTAAAGTATAATAATAATTTTAAAAAATTACTGGCTGACTCTCTTTTTGGACTCAGCCCACCTGCATCCAGGTGAAATAAACAGCTTTATTGCTCACACAAAGCCTGTTTGGTGGTCTCTTCACATGGACGCGCATGAAATTTGGTGCCGTGACTTGGATCGGGGGACCTCCCTTGGGAGATCAATCCCCTGTCCTCCTGTTCTTTGCTCCGTGAGAAAGATCCACCTACGACCTCAGGTCCTCAGACCAACCAGCCCAAGGAACATCTCACCAATTTTAAATCAGGTAAGCGGCCTCTTCTTACTCTCTTTCTCCAACCTCTCTCACTGTCCCTCAACCACTTTCTCCTTTCCACTCTTCATTCTCTCCCTTCTCTTAATTTCAATTCCTTTCATTTTCTGGGAGAGACAAAGGAGACACATTTTACCAGTGGGCCCAAAACTCCGGCGCCAGTCACAGACTGGGAAGGCAGCCTTCCCTTGGTGTTTAATCATTGCAGGGAAGCCTCTCTGATTATTGACCCACGTTTCAAAGGTGTCAGACCACGAAGGGATGCCTGCCTTGGTCCTTCACCCTTAGCGGCAAGTCCCGCTTTTCTGGGGAAGGGGCAAGTACCCCAACCCCTTCTCTCCTTGTCTCTACCCCTTTTCTGCTTTTCTGGGGGAGGGGCAAGTACCCCTCAACCCCTTCTCCTTCACCCTTAGCGGCAAGTCCCGCTTTTCTAGGGGGCAAGATCCCCCAATCCCTTATTTCCATGCCCCAACCTCATATCTCTGCGCCCCAATCCCTTATTTCTGTGCCCCAACCTCTTATCTCTGTGCCCCAATCCCTTATTTCCATGCCCCGACCCCCCTTCCTGCTTTTCAGGAGGGTAAGAACCCCCAAACCCCTTCCCTCCATGTCTCTACGCTCTCTTTTCTCTGGGTTTGCCTCCTTCACTATGGGCAACCTTCCACCCTCCATTCCTCCTTCTTCTCCCTTAGCCTGTGTTCTCAAAAACTTAAAACCTCTTCAACTCACACCTGACCTAAAACCTAAATGCCTTATTTTCTTCTGCAATGCCGCTTGACCCCAATACAAACTCGACAGTATTTGTCCAAATAGCCAGAAAATGGCACTTTGAATTTTTCCATCCTGCAAGATCTAAATAATTCTTGTCATAAAATAGGCAAATGGTCTGAGGTGCCTGACGTCCAGGCATTCTTTTACACATCAGTCCCTTCCTAGTCTCTGTGCCCAGTGCAACTTGTCCCAAATCTTCCTTCTTTCCCTCCCACCTGTCCCCTCAGTACCAACCCCAAGCGTCGCTGAGTCTTTCTAATCTTCCTTTTCTACAGACCCATCTGACCTCTCCCTTCCTCCCCAGGCTGCTCCTCTCCAGGCCGAGCTAGGTCCCAATTCTTCCTCAGCCTCTGCTCCTCCACCCTATAATCTTTTTATCACCTCCCCTCCTCACACCTGGTCCGGCTTACAGTTTCATTCCGTGACTAGCCCTCCCCCACCTGCCCAGCAATTTACTCGTAAAAAGGTGGCTGGAGCCAAAGGCATAGTCAAGGTTAATGCTCCTTTTTCTTTATCCCAAATCAGAAGCGTTTAGGCTCTTTTTCATCGAATATAAAAATCCAGCCCAGTTCATGGCTCGTTTGGCAGCAACCCTGAGACGCTTTACAGCCCTAGACCCTAAAAGGTCAAAAGGCCGTCTTATTCTCAAAATACATTTTATTACCCAATCTGCTCCCGACATCAAATAAAACTCCAAAAATTAAATTCTGGCCCTCAAACCCCACAACAGGACTTAATTAACCTCACCTTCAAGGTGTACAATAACAGAAAAAAGTTGCAATTCCTTGCCTCCACTGTGAGACAAACCCCAGCCACATCTCCAGCACACAAGAACTTCCAAATGCCTGAACTGCAGCGGCCAGGCGTTCCTCCAGAACCTCCTCCCCCAGGAGCTTGCTACAAGTGCCGGAAATCTGGCCACTGGGCCAAGGAATGCCCACAGCCCGGGATTCCTCCTAAGCCACGTCCCGTCTGTGTGGGACCCCACTGAAAATCGGACTGTTCAACTCACCTGGCAGCCACTCCCAGAGCCCCTGGAACTCTGGCCCAAGGCTCTCTGACTCCTTCCCAGATCTTCTCGGCTTAGCGGCTGAAGACTGACACTGCCCAATCGCCTCGGAAGCCCCCTAGACCATCACGGACGCCGAGCTTCGGGTAACTCTCACAGTGGAAGGTAAGCCCGTCCCCTTCTTAATCAATACTGAGGCTACCCACTCCACATTACCTTCTTTTCAAGGGCCTGTTTCCCTTGCCTCCATAACTGTTGTGGGTATTGACGGCCAGGCTTCTAAACCTCTTAAAACTCCCCAACTCTGGTGCCAACTTAGACAATACTCTTTTAAGCACTCCTTTTTAGTTATCCCCACCTGCCCAGTTCCCTTATTAGGCTGAGACACTTTAACTAAATTGTCTGCTTCCCTGACTATTCCTAGACTACAGCTATATCTCGTTGCCGCCCTTCTTCCCAATCCAAAGCCTCCTTTTCGTCCTCCTCTTGTATCCCCCCACCTTAACCCACAAGTATAAGATACCTCTACTCCCTCCTTGGCAACCGATCATGCACCCCTTACCATCTCATTAAAACCTAATCACCCTTACCCCACTCAACGCCAAGATCCCATCCCGCAACACGCTTTAAAAAGATTAAAGCCTGTTATCACTCGCTTGCTGCAGCATGGCCTTTTAAAGCCTATAAACTCTCCTTACAATTCCCCCATTTTACCTGTCCTAAAACCAGATAAGCCTTACAAGTTAGTTCAGGATCTGCACCTTATCAACCAAATTGTTTTGCCTATCCACCCCGTGGTGCCGAACCCATATACTCTCCTATCCTCAATACTTGCCTCTACAACCCATTATTCTGTTCTAGATCTCAAACATGCTTTCTTTACTATTCCTTTGCACCCTTAATCCCAGCCTCTCTTCGCTTTCACTTGGACTGACCCTCACACCCATCAAGCTCAGCAAATTACCTAGGCTGTACTGCCACAAAGCTTCACGGACAGCCCCCATTACTTCAATCAAGCCCAAATTTCTTCCTCATCTGTTACCTATCTCGGCATAAATCTCATAAAAACACACGTGCTCTCCCTGCCAATCGTGTCCGACTGATCTCTCAAACCCCAGCACCTTCTACAAAACAACAACTCCTTTCCTTCCTAGGCATGGTTAGTGCGGTCAGAATTCTTACACAAGAGCCAGGACCGCACCCTGTAGCCTTTCTGTCCAAACAACTCGACCTTACTGTTTTAGCCTAGCCTTCATGTCTGCGTGCGGCGGCTGCCGCTGCTTTAATATGTTAGAGGCCCTAAAAATCACAAACTATGCTCAACTCACTCTCTACATTTCTCATAACTTCCAAAATCCATTTTCTTCCTCATACTTGACACATATACTTTCTGCTCCCCGGCTCCTTCAGCTGTACTCACTCTTTAAGTCCCACAATTACCATTGTTCCTGGCCCGGACTTCAATCTGGCCTCTCACATTATTCCTGATACCACACCTGACCCCCATGACTGTATCTCTCTGATCCACCTGATATTCACCCTATTTCCCCATATTTCCTTCTTTCCTGTTCCTCACCCTGATCATGCTTGATTTATTGATGGCAGTTCCACCAGGCCTAATCGCCACACACCAGCAAAGGTAGGCTATGCTATAGTACAAGCCACTAGCCGGCCTCTCAGAACCTCTCATTTCCTTTCCATCGTGGAAATCTATCCTCAAGGAAATAACTTCTCAGTGTTCCATCTGCTATTCTACTACTCCTCAGGGATTATTCAGGCCCCCTCCCTTCCCTACACATCAAGCTGGAGGATTTGCCCCCACCCAGGACTGGCAAATTAGCTTTACTCAACATGCCCGAGTCAGGAAACTAAAATACCTCTTAGTCTAAATAGACTCTTTCACTGAATAAATAGAGGCCTTTCCTACAGGGTCTGAGAAGGCCATCGCAGTCATTTCTTCCCTTCTGTCAGACATAATTCCTCAGTTTAGCCTTCCCACCTCTATACAGTCTGATAACAGACCAGCCTTTATTAGTCAAATCAGCCAAGCAGTTTTTCAGGCTCTTAGTATTCAGTGAAACCTTTATATCCTTTATGGTCCTCCGTCTTCAGGAAAAGTAGAATGGACTAAAGGTCTTTTAAAAACACACCTCACCAAGCTCAGCCACCAACTTAAAAAGGACTGAACAATACTTTTACCACTTTCTCTTCTCAGAATTCAGGCCTGTCCTCAGAATGTTACAAAGTACAGCCCATTTAAGCTCCTGTATAGACACTCATTTTTATTAGGCCCCAGTCTCATTCGACACCAGACCAACTTAGACTGTGCCCCAAAAAAACTTGTCATCCCTACTATCTTTTTTCTAGTCATACTCCTATTCACTATTCTCAAGTACTCATGCATGCCCTGCTCTTGTTTACACTGCCGGTTTACTGTTTCTCCAAGCCATCACAGCTGATACCTCCTGGTGCTATCCCCAAACTGCCACTCTAAACTCTTGAAGTAAATAAATAATCTTTGCTGACAGGACTATGCTGAATCTCCTTAGGCACTCTCTAATCAGATGTCCTAGGTCCTCCCAATTCTTAGACCTTTTATACCTGTTTTTCTCCTTCTCTTATTCCATTTAGTTTTTCAATTCATGCAAAACCATATCCAGGCCATCACCAATCATTCTATATGACAAATGTTCCTTCTAACAACCCCACAATATCACCCCTTACCACAAGATCTTCCTCCAGCTTAATCTCTCCCACTCTAGGTTCCCACGCTGCCCCTAATCCTGCTCGAAGCAGCCCTGAGAAACATCGCCCATTCTCTCTCCATACCACCCCCAAAAATTTTCGCCGCCCCAGCACTTCAACACTATTTTCTTTTATTTTTCTTATTAATATAAGAAGGCAGGAATGTCAGGCCTCTGAGCCCAAGCCAAGCCATTGCATCCCCTGTGACTTGGACGTATACGCCCAGATGGCCTGAAGTAACTGAAGAATCACAAAAGAAGTGAAAAGGCCCTGCCCCATCCTTAACTGATGACATTCCACCATTGTGATTTGTTCCTGCCCCACCTTAACTGAGTGATTAACCCTGTGAATTTCCTTCTTCTGGCTCAGAAGCTCCCCCACTGAGCACCTTGTGACACCCGCCCCTGCCCAACAGAGAACAACCCCCTTTGACTGTAATTTTCATTAACTTCCCAAATCCTATAAAACGGCCCCACCCCTATCTCCCTTCACTGACTCTCTTTTTGGACTCAGCCCACCTGCACCCAGGTGAAATAAAAAGCTTTATTGCTCACACACACACACACACACACACACACACACACACACGCAAAAAAAAAAAAAAAAAAAAAAAAAAATTACCTCTGAGTCTTCAGTCTTCCAGAATTAAGAAGCTGGGTAAGGATGGAAAAGTAAGGGACTTCCAGTGTGCAGAACCAAGAGCTTGAAGAATAATAGATTAAGATGCCACTCCTAAAGAAAATAACTAAAACTTAATCATGAAACATTCCTTGCCCCAGGATAGAAGGACCCAGAAATATTTGTACAGCAGGCTTTGGGAACAACTATTGAGCAGTAACTGCTATATGCCTACCACTCTTTCTCTTTCTAATGAAAGTGTTTATTTCTGTTATTGTGCTCTCACGCCACAATTGTATGTTAAGTGTAAACAGTAAAATTGTCTTTATTATTCATAGGTCTCTGACTCAAAGAAAAGCACATCTAGATTTGCTTTATATCACAAGATCCTGGACTTTCTGGCCTGATATTAGGATTAGATGAAGTTGGAGGGAATATAAGCATGTGGATAATCATGATTAATAGGGAAGACTGGTAGATTGAAGTATTTGTCCAAATTCTTCACTTCCCTGAAATGGTATCTGTCATCATACATCACATGGCCTCATGGTAGGTGGAGTTCCCTGTCTTCTCACTGTGAGTTTGGCTAGGTGACTTGCTTTGGCCAATGCGATATTTGATGAGACATGAGCAAAGGCTTGAAATTAACATATGCAGTTGGGCTTTCCCTACATCACTTTTTTGCCATTATTTTAATAAGGATATAACCTGAATAGCTTCTGCCCATCTGGCTTGGCCCCATAATTAAATGCATTGAACAGAACAGCTCCAGCCAATGCAAATCTGCAGCTTGAAGAAGAGCCACTTCAGTCACCCACAGATACATGAGCAAGAAATAAATGCTTATCACTTGCCACTGATATATTGTTTTTGTCACAATAGCTTTTTGCAGCAATAGTTTACTAATATTGGGGTCCTAGTCCTCTAATTCTTTCACAAAAGTTATTTCATGAAAATATGAAATCATATCATGAAGGAATCCATTACTTTGGCAGAAAAAGAAAACACCTAAATTTGTTTTTTTTCTGTTGTTGTTTCTCAGCCTTGAAACTACAAAACATAAGAAATTGTTTCAAAATCAAATAAACTACTGAGTTTCTGCATCAATTGTAGTTCTTTGGTTGTACACAATTACGGCTAACTTAAACAAAAGAGACATTCATTGAAACATTATCAGAAGTTAATGGAATTGACTGGAAGCCTGAAGAACCAAACTAGAAATCAATAGGAACCAAGACAGTTTCTGGAACCTAGAAGGCAAGAAAACCAGGAATGGCCTAATAGAGGAAGGAATCTGGTTAGAATGCTGTGGATGGGAGATGGATAAATTCCAAATATTTTCAGACCTGTTTTTACTTCTTCTGAGGATTCAAATCTCAAGAAGAAAGAATCAAACTGATTCTTTGGCATAAGAGAGAAAAGGACCTGAATAGGAGAGAGCAGGACCCCTGGTTACAGTTTCATCCAGCTAAAAAAAAAAAAAAAAAAAGAGTTAAATCCTGGAAAAAAAAGTCTGGCTGCTGTCAGGAAGGAAAATGTATGTAAAGAAGAAAAGAACTGTCTTCTTTGCTTGGTAAACCTACACATGCCCCTCAGAGAATGGTGCTGAAGTACCTCCCAAAGAACTTCCATTTACCCGTGAGCTTTATCATATGAGTTTACACCTGCTTCTTCCCAAGCCTCACTAAAATGATAACTAAGAAACTGCAAAAGACATAACCCTCAATAATCAAAAAGAGACTGGAGATGACAGCAACAAAATGCTGTTTTGCAAAACAGATGGATGGGTAACCAACTTAGCAGACCAAGGAAAACAGAAACCTAAACTGTAAGTGCAGTAGCCCTAATGCCCAAATTTATACTACAGATTATTAGGAAGCCTCAGGAACTCAAAAACAGTCGAGATTAGAAGGCTGAATAAAGGCTGGTTAAAATGTCTGCACAGAAGCCGTTAGATCCCTGAAGTCAATGAGCTACCGTTACTCTATCTTTAGCGGGAACCAGGAAAAGTTGACCTAGAGCACTCTATACTCAGGGATGACACATGTATCCAAGACCAAGAGTCCTATGAAAACAGGGGCATTGACTAAGACTCCTTCTGTATCCCCACTCCAGGCCCCGTCCTCTCTGAGTTTCCCAGGATGCTGGCAGCCAGCTTACACCTGACAGGCTAAAGACTAGGAGGTCTCTTTCTGAGTATACTGACACATCAGTAGAAGAGACTTACGGGTCGTGGTATTTAGAGATGGCACAGTGAAGTAGCTGAGGCCCCACCCAAATGCTGAAGCCCACCCATCAAAGCTTCATCTGGGAATGCTGTGCTTCTAGATAATGTTTCTTGATTCATTTATGAAAGTGAACAAAGAGCTAAGAAGCACCAGTCATTTTAAAAACCTCTAATGTTAGAAAAATAAACACACAAAAAGCAATCTCAGGGGAAAGAAAGATATTGCAAAATACACATAATGCATTACCTCAGAGAAATTAGAAAAGATATTGCACCTATAAAATAAGAATAAATAGAACATCACATCATACAAGAAAAAGGAACATCAGAGAATAAAATGTTCTTTAAGAAATTTGAGAGTAGAAATGAAAATTTTAATGAAAATGTTGAGAGATAGAGAATACCTCCCATGAGTAACACAAAAAGAGAAGAAAAATTACAGAAAGTACACACTTAAAAAAACATAGAGGAGTGGCTGGGCGCTGTGGCTCACACCTGTAATCCCAGCATTTTGGGAGGCCGAGGCGGGCGGATCAGGAGGTCAGGAGTTCAAGACCAGCCTGACCAACATGGTGAAACCCTGTCTCTACTAAAAGTACAAAAATCAGCTGGGCATGGTGGCATGCACCTGTAATTCCAGCTACTCGGGAGGCTGAGGCAGGAGAATCGTTTGAACCCAGTGAGCCAAGATCACACCACTGCACTCCAGCCTGGGCAACAGAGTGAGACGCTGTTTCCAGAAAAAAAAAGAAAAAGAAGAAAGGAAACATAATAATTGGTGATAACAGAATAATCTATGACTCAGCTATGATTAATGTTAACATAGTTATAATCATGTACATAGTGAATATTGCTGTATGCCAAAATTATGATATAATTATTATATGGAGAAAGGAAATACATGTGTGTTTGTCTTGTATGTATTTGCGTTGAAGAGAAGAGGTCTAAAAAAACCAAATGCTCCTCTTCCACAGTAAAATGACAAGAAATAATACACGTATAAAACTGAAAAAAATTAGCTAGATTGACTGGTTTTTAAATAAAATGCAGAGATGCAGCTCAAACAGTTAAATTGAGAAGTCAGAAGTGGGGAATGGCAGGATAGGGCTGATGACTTCTTTTCAATCTTACCTAATTATTTTTTAATTTTGATAAAAATTTAACAGTCAACTAAAAAAGAAGTGTATTTTCTTGCCCAGAGCTTGAGGATGAAGTAGGGTATGTAGTAATATTCAGGAGAGGGGCTTACAAAGAATCACCCAGCTAGCAGCAAGGAGAGGTGTCCAACAGAACTGTGCCTCCTCAAGCTCTTCCTGTGGAATGAGGCCAGCTGTGGAAATCCTCATGGAGTGCAAAGGGCAGAGAGATTCCTCAGATGAGAAAACAGAAAGGAATGAGCAGATGCTGCCCTGCAGCCAATAGCTCTATTAGGAAACTTTCTCTAAGTATCTTGGAATCAGTAACAAGATTGAATTTTAGATTCAAGCATACATAGCAGTCTTTTAATTTAAGAGACATAACCCTGAAGATTGATCCTGAGGATGGATGCAGAGGATCGGCCATCAGGGGGAAGAATGCAGACTGCAGACTGCTGTCGTTCTGTGTGTCAAGATAAATAAGAAGATAATAGGCCGGGCACGGTGGCTCACGCCTGTAGTCTCAACACTCTGGGAGGTCAAGGCGGGAGGATCACTTGAGCCCAGGAGTTCAAGACCAGCCTGGGCAACATAGGGAGACCCTTGTCTCTACATAAAAATAAAAAATAAAAAAATAGCTCTTCCCTTTTGTGGCCATCACCAAAGCGGCAGTGGCCAAAGTGGAGTTCAATCCCTTTGTGACTTCTGATCGAAGCAAGTACCACAAAAGGCATTTCAATGCACTTTCCCACATTCTCAGAAATATTAGGTCTTCCTCTCTTTGCAAAGAGCTGAGACAGAAGTACAATGTTCAATCCATGACCATCCGAAAGGATGATGAAGTTCAGGTTGTACACAGGCACTACAAAGGTCAGCAAATTGGCAAAGTAGTCCAGGTTTACAGGAAGAAATATGTCACCTACATTGCACAGGTGCAGCAGGAAAAGGCTAATGGCACAACTGTCCACATAGGCATTCACCCCAGCAAGGTGGTTAGCACTAGGCTAAAACTGGACAAAGACTGCAAAAAGATTCTTGAACGGAAAGCCAAATCTTAGCAAGTAGGAAGGGAAAGGGGCAAATACAAGGAAGAAACAATTGGATAAAGGAATAAAGGAATCTTGTATACAAGCTTTCATCAAAACTTGAAAAAAAAAAAAAATAGCCAGGCACGGTGACATGCCTGTGGGCCCAGCTACTGGGGAGACTGAGGCAGGAGGACTGCTTGAGCCTGGGACATTGAGGCTACAGTGAGCTGTGATCATGCCACTGCACTGCACAGCCTGGGTGACATAGTGAGACTGTGTCTCAAAAAAAAAAAAAGAAGAGGAAGAAGAAGATAATAATAACACATGGTGTTTAGACCTGCTCTGTGCCTTGCATTGTACTCACCACTGCACAGAATTATAGCCCTATATAAGCTGTGTTATAAATTCATAACCCTATAAAAATAAATTGTAGAGAAGATTGGTTGAGCACTCACCGTGTCTCAGGCATTATGCCAATATTCCATTAAATCTTCACAACAACTCTCTGGTGGAGGTATAATTGCTATTATCCTATTTTATAGATGGGGATACTGAAAAACAGAAAAGTTCAAATTTGCCCAAACTCCCATAGCTAATAAATGGCCAAGCCAGGACTCAAAGTGTCTAGTTCCAAAGCCTGTGCATAGACTCCTCATGTACAACACTAGCTTATCGCAACAGATGACAGAACTTGGGCTTAGAGGATTGAAGTAACAAAGCCAAGGGTTCACAGCCACCAGGGAGTAGAACCAGTACTCAAATCCAACCTTCTCTGAACCTGAAGTACACCCTACATTTGTCTATCATACTGCCTCCATAATAGAGGAAAAGTCTAATTCCAATAGAATAAGAAAAGTAAGCCATCCTTTGTGTTAGGAGTAATACTCAGTGATAACGAATACACTGATCAGTGGCATAAAAGGGTATCAGGAGTATAGAGATAGAGAGAACAGAGGTTAACAAATAACCACCCCCAAACCATGGGAGTGTGGATGATGGGATGGGTGACCTGCATTTTCTAGCCACTTCTCAACGCTGGCAACTGCAGCATAGCAGTACAGGGGCTGGACTCTAAGGCCAATGACACTGCCTGCAAGTCCTGGCTCTGCTGCTTACTAGTTATGTAAGCTTGGGCAAATTACTTTGCTTTTCTGGGTTTGAGTTTCTTCATCTGAAAAATGCTAACGATAACGGGGTTGTTAGAGGAATAAGTGATTTAGTCATTGTAAGTTGCTGTAAGAACAGCTTGTATTAAATAATTCCTGACCCACACACTAAGTGCTAGCATTGATTATAAAATAATTGTGTTTTATATTAATTAAGGACTTCCTGAAATATGCTCTGCTCCCAATTCTGTGGCTAATTCTTGCTGTGTATTCACCTGCTTAGCCTTGACAGGAGGCTTGCTTTTGTTTCTGTTCTGCTCTTGGCATTCTAAGCCTCAGGAATTTATGTCTTTGTCTTCCGCCCCAGACCTACTGATTTGGATTTCTTACCTCATTTTGAGCAACCTGTGGCCCACGGCCTCATGCCTCAGATTCCCAATGAGTAGATCCCTAATAATTGCTCTGAGAAGTCCTTGTTACAAACCACTTGCCACTTTGACCCTTCCTTCCCTCCTCCATAGTAGTTCAGCTCCATGGATTCTGGCATGTCTGTTGGCATGAACTAGAGTGATTTTTTACTCACTGCCTCCTTACTCTGGGACTAAACTCTGGATCTGACATTTATATTTTAGGTTTGCACCTCTATTGATTTATCCCTCATAGTAGAACTAAAACTGGTACAGCCCTTTACAATTTACAAAGCAACTCCACAGACATTACGAAATTCAACCTTGACAACAATCCTTTGAGGCAGGCATTTTTATTGTTCCTAAATATAGAAGGAGGTTCAGGCAAGATAAATAATTTGACCACAACTACAAAGAATTACTGACAGAGATAAAACTAGAAATCAAGTCTTCTGACTACACACACTGTATTCTTTTGTAACTCCAATCTGCCCATAAGGTTTGCACACTCTTCATACCAGCCCTCCACCACCCAAAGCGCAGCTATACAAATTCCCAAGCTGATATGCCCCGCCTTGACTCTCACCTCAACTTTTGTACCTACATTAGCAGCTCTTGTACATAATCACCTCCACAGCCACATGAAGCTCAGCATCCTTTATAGCTCACTAGCACTGTCTATGTGTATGGGTCCATTTCCATCAATGGTCTCAAGTGTTTCCTTGACTCAACACCTCAGAATAACATTTGACTCCTGCCTCGCCCTCACCCATCACATTCAGTTATCTATTGAAGCCGAAGATCCTTCCTTTGTGTTGCCTCCCATATGTTTCTTCTTCTTTCCGGTCACGCACCCACTGCTCCAATTCAGGTCCTCATCACTTCACCCTTGAACTATTACCATAGTCTTCTCCTTGTGTTCATTTTCTCCCTTTTCATTTCATCTGAAAGCTACACCAAATTAATCTTGGTAACATGCCACTTCATCTCTCACTGAAAAGCTTTCTGTGGTTCTGCACATCCTTTAGGATAAGCTCTCAATTTCTTAACGTGCTGTTTCCTAAACCATGTGCTAAGAAACACTAGACTCCCTGAATATTAATAGAAGCTTCATTTAAAAAAAAAGAAAAGGAAAGAAATGCTACCTGCTATCACCACTTCTCCATGTACATGCACATTCACTAAGAAACTGAATATATTATCAAGACATTGGAAGTTTTCTTAAGCCAACGTTTTCAAAATGTGTTGGACCACAGAACACTTTCTTCAGTGAAAACTTAGGAATATTCGCTTGGCATTAACATTCCACAAAAGGGTTTAAGATATTCACCTCTTCACCTCCTTGTCCCTTTCTAAACTTAGCTTCTGCTACTACCTTACACAAATCATTCCTGTCTTTACATTGGTTGCTAAGTAAATTGAACTAAGTCCTACCTTTAAGTTTGACACCACCCTTCTCTGACCACCCGAGGCATAAAGTGTCCCAAATTCAACTCACTGCAGTGTGGACCACATGTCCCAGGTTTTCTACATGGTCCTGGTTTTATGTAATTTGCCCTTCTTAATAAAGATGATTAAAACATAGCATGAAATGAACTTTTTATTTTGAGAGATTTATTTTTATTTAAAAATTTTTTATTGAGTTACAATTGACAAAAAAATGTATAAGTTTAAGCTGTACAATGTGACAATTTTATGTACATATAAAGTGAAGTAATTACCACAATTAAGCTTGGTGCATCCATCACTGATTGTAATAAGTTGCACATTAGAAAACAAATCTTTTCCTGAATTACATATCCCAATTTCCAATTTATATAGTTGGCTTGCTGTCATTGAGCACACCTATTTTTTGTATTGCTAATTTGAGGCACTCTATGTAGTACTACATTGTTAATTCTGTTTTATGTCTTTTCATATCTCTCCTAGTAGGTTAGTCTATTTTTCTCTAGTACTTATTTATCTCTCAGAGTTAGAATTTACATTGATTATAATAATGGTTCTGTGGCTACCTATTACAGACATTCAAATGGCAAAGTCCTTTTTACCCAAAATAAAAATTTCAGTTTTAAAGAGCAAGCTGACTGCCTAAGAAATGAAAACCCTGCTTTAATTTAAGGAATAAGGTCTAGTCCTTGGGCATCTCAAAGCCACAAAACTTAAAGGAAACCAAAAGCACTAGTACCAAAGTCCCTACTCTATCCACTTCCAGAGCCCTCTGGGCTTTCAGCTACTGCTTCTTTTAAAAACATACAGTGCTTCAATATAAAACAAGTGTGGGTACTAAATTATTTGTGGGTGAAATAATAGGATACTTTGGATTTGTCTTAAAACATTGCAGCAAAAATAAAAACACCAAAGGGCAGTGGAGCAAACACAGATTAAACATAACTGAAAAAATGTTGATAGGTATTGAATTGGATAATAAATACATGAGGGCTCAGCTCAGTATACTATGTTTGTATATGTTTGAAAATGTCTATAATAAAAAGCTCTAAAAATGTATAGGTGACCGATGTTTATTAAACCGGGAGGATGATGATGGCCCAAGTGCTTTTCCCATCAGCTCTGTACCCCTATGAGGTTCTACTCATTTCACTGCCGTGGTCAGCTCAACCCAGCTCCTCACTTAATCCCACAGTCACCCAGCCTGCTTTCACTACCCCCAGGCCTCTGAGCAAAAACAACCAAGGAGTAACTTCCATCAAGAGAAGGTAAGTAAATGGAGCTAGGTCTCTTTCGCTTTATCTTTTTTCCTGTTTTTGTTTGTTTGTTTTTTATTTTTGTTTTGAGACAGAGTCTTGCTCTGTCACCCACGCTGGTGTGCAGTGGTACAATCTTGGCTCACTGCAATGTCTGCCTCCCAGATTCAAGCAATTCTCGTGCCTCAGCCTCCTGAGTAGCTGAGACTACAGGCACACAACACCATGCCCAGCTGATCTTTGTATCTTTAGTAAAAACGGGGTTTAACCATGTTGGCCAAGCTGGTCTCAAACTCCTGACTTCATGTGATCCACCCACCACAGCATCCCAAAGTGCTGGGATTACAGGCATGAGCCACCGTGCCTGGCCTTTTTTTCCTGTTTTCTATCTGTTCTTCTGTCCACCAACCTATCTCCCTCCCTGTCAGCCCACCCAACTGCCCACCTGCACATCTGCTGCCCTTCCTTGCTCCAGCTCCATCAGTTTTTGAACTAGCCAAAACTCTTTGGCCAACTCTGCCCAGATCTTCATAATATTTCACCTAAAACTAGTGCAGGTATCTCAGCTATCCATCAGTTTTTGTCAACTCTTTGACTAATATTAATAATATTTCTCTTAAAATCTTTGTTATTAATTGATGCCAGGAAAACAAATCTTCTGCTTTTCTCTGCCTTCTTGTGTCCTTTTGACTCTTTCTGACAATGTAAATCCTGACTCCACTGCTGCCCCATTCCGAACCTTCTGTGCATGGTCTACTTCCAAGATCCTTCAGATGGTGCCTCATGATACACAACGTCTGGCCTTAAAGAGGCAGGGGAGCATGTAATAGAAATGAACTTCTCCTATCATAAAAGCCAAAGAAGAAAGAGATTCAAGGATACAGTGATCAAAGGGGCAAAATGCATTAGAAAAACCTATAGAGATTAAGTAGCTAGAAGAAGACTTTGATAACTAGGAAATTATTACCAATGATTAGTTCAGAAAGAATAGAAATGGATTCCAAGTGCATGTAATTCAGTCAAGAAGAAGGCATAGATAACATGCCTAACGATAAGCACAATGATAGGCAGGAGAAAAATATGAAAGAATCTTTTACAGAAAAACATTCAGACCTGGGGGTTTTCAAGACAAATTAGACGTAGGCATATTGAAAGGCCAAAAAAGGAGCCAGTGGAAGAGACTGAAGAATCTAGAAGTCAGAAGGCAACAAAACAGGGCCTTGGAAGTGACAGAAAAGACAGAGGATGAAAATACATATCAAGGTGTTGGTCTTGGACAGGGTGAGCAGACCTCTTTTGTGAGATTAAAAGGTGTTACTTTATAAGGAAATCAATTTTGAAAAAAGCTAAAGATTACTTTTTGAATGGTTTCAATGTTCTCAGTAAAAATATATTAAATTATATGAGATGATACGTGTAAAATACTTGGCACAAGGCTTGATATATAATAAATGTTCACCATGTGGTGGTCCTAGGAGACTTAACAGTAGTGTAGTAGCATTGATAAGAACAGCAGTGAACATTTACTGAGTGTTTACTATGTTCCAGGAGCTTTCCTAAGCTATTGTAGTGGTAGTGGTAGAGGGAGAAGGAGCAGGAGCAGTAATAATAAATAAAAAACATCTGTCTGAGAATAAAGTGAGCAGGATTAGGCTTGAGAAAAGCAGAAGGTTGATTGGCAGAGATATAGAGATTTCATCAGCAACTGAGCAGACAATTATTAAGCATGTATAGGAACCCACGTGAACTTTGGCCAGGCACTGGTAATCAAAAAAGTTGCTAAGTGTCTGATCAGAAGCAAAGCTAATGGAGTGGCTGAAATTATAATAAATGGGCAGTCTTACTATATAAACAAGGGTTTATAGTTAAAAGGTTCAGGAGATATCTTAGAGGATTAGTGACAATTGGTCATGGGGCTTAAGGATCTCCTTGCTACTAGCTAAGCAGAGGAATAGAAATAGTAAAGAATGGGAAGCATGGTTAGCATATTATAACATAAATGCTGAAGTCACTGAAAATGTACCAGAAGACAGATGGACAGGAAAATTGACAACAAGTTTCCATAAATGAAGTATTACTTCATTTAGGAAACTGATTATGTGACAGCAAGTAGATCAAAAATATTGTCTGCATCCCTATATTGCCCAGCCTTTATTACCAGAAATCATCAAAGATGGTAAAAGTAATCTTAGAAATTTATAGACAATGGTAACAAGACTTTCTGATATCAACTCGTGATACCATAGACCTCAAATGAGAAAAATGGATAATAAGAGAAGGAACAATCATTAGAATGGTATTAGTTATCAATAAGCAATTATGAATTATGAATGGTATTAGTTATCAATAAGCAATAAATGAATTGATAGAATGAATTCATAGAATGAATGAATTCACAGAATGAATGAATTGATGTAAGAAAATGTGCAGCACACTAAATGTGAATGGAAATTATATACATGAGACTCACACTGACCCAAATCGTTTGTAGCTCCTAATAGTTCTATTTTTTAATTTTATTTACTAATTTTGAAGGTTACTGCAAATTTTATTTTTATTTTAGAGGCAAAAAAACTAACTTTACAACAATCAGCTTATAGTAGAATATTATCAGTGATGCAGGATTGCTCTTTTTATATCCTTATATTTGGTAGTATTATTTAACATTACATGCAGGTACTCACTCTTGTGTTTTTAACATACTTGGCATTTTGCTACATTTCTTCTTCTAACTTGTTTTACTTATCATCATATTTTTGAGATTTATTAATGTAGATGTACTTAAATGTAGTTTATTACTTCTAACTACTGCATGGTACTCCACTACTTGCATATTTCACATTTTGATTATCCATTTCTCACTAATGGGCATTCGAGTTATTTCCAACTCTTTGTTGGTTCAAACTGTGCTGCAGTAAGTAAACTTCTGAGAACTTATCTTTAATATATCTCCAGAAGAGTAACTGAGGGGTGTATACTCAGTAATGAAACTGCAAAGCCATAGAATATGAATATATGTAATTTCACTAGTATTATTAAATTATTCTCCAGAATAACAACATTAATTTATCCCTCCACTCTCAGTAGAGAAGAGTTCTTGTTTCTCTACAACCTCACCAACACTTATGCTTTCCAGCATTTTAATTTTTGCCAATGCAATGATTATAAATGGGTTTCTCATTTGTTCCTGCTGGATTCATTTAATATTTTACTTAGCACCTTTTAAGCACCAAGTGTGATGCTCAAATGTGTTAAACCACCTGGCTGAAGTTGGTAATGTAGCCTCAAAGTCACGTTTGGTAAATAGTTCAAAAAGTGTCACATATGTTTATTAGTGAATTTAAGAAAACAAGGGAAAAAAACTCCAATGGGTTGCAATTTCCAGCAAATTGTAACTAATAACTGTGAAAAATATTTCTGCTCAGAGGATCATGAGAAGGAACGTGGAACCAATGCAAGATAGATGTGTGAGCCAACACACGTGGCTAGCTTCATGTAAGCCCAGCATACTCTCCAATGTGTCTTCTTAGAGTCACACCTGAACTGACTACTGATTTTCACTTAAATCTGTTGAGAAAAAGGCAATTTTGCTTTTGTTTCTTAGCAACAGATAGCTTGATCCTGAAAGTCTAATGGTAAGACGTGGTTAAAATGAAGAAGAAAGAGATTGCATGGTAATTTAAATGTTACTCTCTACCTAAAAGCAATGCTGAGAAGACTCTCTTCAAAGACTTGTCCATTCAAATTCCTCTTGTTAAACAGTTTAATTGCATCCTGTGTCTAATTTTTAAATTAATTAGTGATTTTCCTTATATAGCTCTAGAATTTTTGTCATTAATGATGTAAATATCACTTCCTGGACTATTATTTTGACTTATGCTGTCCTGTGTTAGCCAAACTATTTATTTTTATAGTCAAATCCATCAATTTTTCTTGAAAAGTCCTATGTATTTTATATCTTCTTGGTATATCTGGAGCATTTAACTGATTATTTCTCATATAATTAGCCTACTTTCCATAGAACATTTATTTTAAACTTAAAACATTTTCCGCTGATTTACGATGCCATCACCATCATTTACCAAGTTCATGTAGAGATATCAGTCTGTTTCTGGACTGTCGATCTTGTACTGTATATCTACTTATTCTTATACAAAAATGAATGTATTTTACTAATTGTTGCTCTGCAGTATTTGTTAATATCTAGAAGGATTAGTCATCCTTTCTTCTCTCCACCTTAATTCAAAAGTTAAAATCTGTGTTAACTATTTTAGGACCTTTATTTCTCTCTATATATTTTAAATCAATATGGAATTTTTCCCATGATTCTTCTTGTAATTATTATTGGAAATGCATTAAATATATTCCAAACTTAGAAAAACCGATGTATTTACAAGATAAAGTCTCCCCATTCATGAACATAGTGTATTTCTCCATTTATTTGAACTTTCTTTCTTGTGCTTTACTAGGGCTTTATAATTTTTTTATAAATCCTATGCATTAAAAAAATTCATTTCTATATATTTTATGAGTGTGTTGCTTCTTTTTATTATGGTTTCTAATATAATATTGTTGATATAGAGAAAACTTATTTACTTTTATATGTTGATCTTATGTTAGAAAATTTTGCTGAACTTTCTTATTGGTGTGACTAGTTTGCCATTAATACTCTTGCATTTTAAATGTAAATGATCATATCATCAGCAAATAATTACAATGTATTATTTATAACAATTATTTTCTTTTTCACTGTATTGACTAAAATTGTTAGCACACTGTGCTGACAGGTATCACTTATACAAAGCATATATATCTAGTTCCTGACTTGAAAATAAGTGCCTCAGATTTATCCATTAAACATGAAATTTGTTGTGGAATATTTGTACATAGGGTTTATTAGATTATAAAATTCCTGTGTATTTCTAGCTTTCTAATAATTTTCATCTTTTTTTCATGTATATTGAGATGACTCTGTTTTAGATTTTCTGGAGTTGAACTATCTTTCTATTCCTGAGAAAATTGTAAAAATGTGTTGCTTTTTAAAATGTTGAACTTGGATAATATTTTTAAATGCTTTTATCTATAAAATTAGTGTATGCATTTTCTAAATTATGCAAATTTTATAAAATGAGTTGTTAATGTTTTCTTTTTTTTCATTTTCTGAAAAAACTTACATAATATTTGGGAATCATGTCTCTCTTGAAACGTTGGTAAAATCTACCCGTAAAATTATTTTACATGGGAGTAGTGAAGAGGGCAGAGATATTATTTTTTCATAGCCATTCAAAGCCATTAATGATTGTTATTGTAAGTTTTCTGCTTTTTAGGGGGTCAATTCGGCTTTTATCTTCAGATATGTGCCTATTTTATCCACCAATACTTTTTAATAATATTCTTTTATTATTTTTAATCTCTACTAGACCTATTTTAATTTCTACCTTTTCATTTTTTATTCATTTGTATCTTTTCACTTTTTTGCTCATTGAAAATTCCAGAAATTTATCCACCTTCTTAGAATTTTCAAAAAAAAAAAAACTTATGGTTTTTGGTAACAATCTCTTTTTTGTTTCTTTTCTATGCTGTTTATTTCCTATGTATTATTTATTTTTAATAATTTAGGTTTACCCTATTGCTTTTTTCCATCATCTATATTTCTATAAATTTGTTTTAAAACATTATGCAAACCCTCAAAAGAAATTAACTTTTCCTCCTTAGGTTCATAGATAGTCATCAGATTCGTAATTTAACCAACCTCTTCTCAGCTGGAGTCAGAGAAAAGCAGTATCTTTTCTCTCTAGAAACAGGCATCCCACCAGTCAATCTACAGTCTGGTGACAAATGGCTAAGAAATGTGGAGATGAGGTAAGCATTTCCAGTCTCTGTTCAAACACAGATCCCACAGGACTCTAAGTTTGAGGAAACTCACAGCAAGAGGAGACAGAAGCACCACCAATCAAGAATCCCAGTCCCAAATAGAGAATTCCATTTGTTGACAGAACTCTTCAACTAAAGCCAGGCTCCAGCCAAAGAAAACATGAAGAAGAAAACGTCAAACTCTTGGCACTGGTAAACTTTACTTTAGTGCAGGGCTTATACACCCTGAAAATTATGTCCAAGATCCTCCTGGCACTGTTTCCAAAATTCTGAACCATGACTACACTGCTGTTTGCGAATAATATCATCACATTCGTGACTCTTAATCGCCACGGAGGCCTGTCCAGCCCGAATCTTTTCTCAGCTGGTTTTCACTTTACCGGGAGACTATGCGCAGAAAAAGAATGAGAAGGAGAAGGAACTCTAAGTCCTGAAAGCTCAGTCCCAGGAAAAGTTGAGAGGGACTTCTAGATTGGAAATTGTGTTGATCATGGCTGTACAATATAATAGGTGATATTGGTGTGGTGCTTTAAGATTAACAAAATGTTTTCATGAATAGATCTCATTTAAAATCTCAAAACAATCTGCCAATTAGACACAGTGGGTATTAATATTCCTATATTTTAGTCATGTGATCTAGGTGAGGTAAATTCTTTCTGAAAGTATACATAGCCAAAAAAAAGCTGCCCAAATGAGTACCATTCAACCCTCCCCATTACCTTTAGCATAAGAGTTGTGTAGGGACTGACATAATTGTTTGTTATCAATAGGGGAAGTCACTCTACTATATCATAGAATCCTTTTCCATGTAAATATTCTACAATGCTGTACATGTGCGAAGTGGGAGATAGGCAGAACACAAGCCTGTGGTTTGCTCAGCGGAAAAATGGAGACCACAGACTCTCCCAGGGTCTCTGTTTCTGGTTTTGTCTCATGTTTCCAAACTCAAGCACCTTGGAGCACAGCAAGGATAACCTTCTGGACCCCTTCTTTTCTCTAGCTATCCTCATTCTCATAGTGATCTCCAGTTTTATCACTTTATTTTTTATTTTTGTTTTATTTATTTATTTATTTATTTATTTTTTTGAGATGGAGTCTCACTCTGTCACCCAGGCTGGAGTGCAGTCGCACGATCTTGGCTCACTGCAACCTCTGCCTCCTGGATTCAAGCAATTCTCCTGCCTCAGCCTCCCGAGAGGCTCAGATTATAGGCATGTGCCACCATGCCTGGCTAATTTTTTGTATTTTTAGTAGAGATAGGGTTTCACCATGTTGGCCAAGCTGGTCTCGAACTCCTGACCTCAAGTTATCCACCCACCTCAGCCTCCCAAAATGCAGGGGTTACAGGCATAAGCCACTGTGCTCAGTCCAGTTTTACCACTTTAAATGCCACCTACATTTGATGACTTCAAATTGGTACTCTAAACTGGACTTATCCTGTGAACTACATGTAGATCACATGTCCATTGAGACAGATATCCAAGTGGATCTGTCTAAATACCCATTAGACAGATCCACTTGGGTATCTAATAGACATCTCAAACTTAGCATGTCTTGCACTAAACCTCTGATCTTACCTCCTCTAAAACTTTCTCTACCTGAGGCTTTCCTCCTTTCAGGTAATGATACCTCTCCACTTCCTGTTGCTCAAGGAAAAAAAAAGTCACTCTGACTCCTCTATTTCTTTACACTCCTTAGCTAATCCATCAGAAAATCCTGCTGGCTCTATATTTTTATTATATCCAGAATCCACTTATATCTCACCACTTCTACAGTGAATCTTATTCAAGTCACGTTTTCCCTCACCTGAATTATTTGAGGCTGACTGCTTTGCTTTCACCTGGTCCCATACAGTCTGTTCCCAACACAGCAGGCAGCATGATCCTTTTTTTACCATCCTGTCCTGAAAGCCCCAAGTGGCTACCCATCACACTCAGAATAAAGCCTAGTTCCCACAATCACCTGGAAGGCACCCCCAACTGGCTGTCCATTATCACTCTTCTGGACTCACCTGCTGCAATTCCATCCTTGCTTACTCCACCAGAGCCACACTGGCCTACTTGCTGGGATGGGAACATGCCAGACCTGCTCCCTGCTCAGAGCCCCGACTAACTAATTCTTCTGCCTGTAATGTCCATCCCCGACATAGCCACATAATTCACCTCTTTACCGCCTTCACGTTTTGCACCAAATATCACTTTCCCATGAAAGCCTTCCTCAAACATTCTATTTAAAATTGCATGCCGCCCCTCACATTCCCCATCATCCTCCTTTATTTTACCCCACTGGACTTATCACTTTCTAATATGCTACATAACTGACTTAATTTGATGATAGTATATCTCTTCTCTCTAGAATATAAGCTTCATGATGACAGAGCTTTTGGTCTGTTTTGCTCACTGATCTGTGCCTCAGTATCCAGATCACAGCCTGACACATAGTAGGTACTCAATAAGCATTTGTTAATGAATCAATGAATGAATAAATTAATTAAAACATGACCTCTAGAGTTCTATGATTCTGACATACATACACACAGGCAGGATCATAATCACATACTCAAAAGCAAGCCTTAAGCTCTCAAAGTTGAGAGGATCTGCCCGAATGGCAATCCACTGGTGCAGGCTTCCTACAGCAGTTTCCTGCAGACATGTGAGAGTTAGGGAATTCATTCATGCATCTGGACAGCCAGCTGCCTGCTCTAGCCATTGAACAAATGAAGACATCTTAGACCTGTGGGCACCTGATGCTTCACCATGGGATCTAGAGGGGGCCGCCTGGTCCAGCATGCGGAGGTGGGAATTGCTGTGAGAGAAGCAAGAAGCACTCTAGGGAAAGTGTGTGACCAGTGGGACAGACAGCACACTGGGCAGGTGGGCGGCTTGAGATGGGAAGAGCTGTTTTTCTCTGAACAGCTGCAGAGGAGTTGTCTGTGTGCCAAGCCCCTCCTAGGTCTCCAGCCTTGAAGAGGGTTTTTGTGGTGAGTAATTAATCACAGGACGCTTTTGCTCTGGCCCTCCCTTTGGAAGAGACTAGTATACTCCTCTCCTTCCTATCTCCCCACCCCTCCAGGGAAATAAAGGAAGCTAAGGTTATAGTTCTGACCAGACATAGCTCATCAGAAGCTACTGTGGAAATCCCCATTCTGGCTGCTCACCCTTCTCCCAGACTCTCCATCTCTTGTTTTTCACCGTTCAAGCTCTCCCTCTCCTCCACACCTGCCCACGGCATCTCCACAGTCTCCTCTCTATTTTGCCTGGGAGCTCTCCCACCTCCAAGCACCATGAACTGAGTCCCTCTCTGCCCACCTCCAAGTTGTTCCTCTCTCTGCACCCAGGTAAGGAGAAGCCTGGCATTGGGGGGATTGGTGGGCAAAGGAGAAGGAAGCACCAAGAGTAGAGCATGAAAATAAAGAAATCGAAACACTTTCCAGCTTGCTTTGCCCACAAGAGACAACTCCTTGTGACACGAGCATCTGTTCCCACGCAGCCACCCTCCTTCCACCGGATCTGGCGCCCCACATCAGAATCACGAAGCACACAGTGTTTTGTGTGCTCCAGCCTGTGGCACCCTCCAGTCGCGGGTACACTGAGGTGGAGTGAGGCGGGAGGAACATGAGGCAGCTACCGATGCCAGGACTTGGAGGTTCAGCTTCCATTTTTATCAAATGATTTTGCCCAAGTGCATCCGTTTTGCCTCAGCTTTCCCATCTAAAAATAGGAGAGTCTTGTCTTCTTCTCAAGTGCACAGAGGATTGCATGGTGAGAGGCATCCAGTGATGTGTTGTTTCTGTAGAATAATCTGTAAAAATAGAATTGAGGAAAATATTATTTCTTCAACTCTTAGAAGCAGAATAGAGAATATTCAAGAAGATGATATCCTTGATTATTTTTCAGCTCCATGGGAGAACAAATATTTGACCTCAGACAAAGCCTAGGAAGGAAAGTCTCCATGTATTACTCCTTTGTCTTGGTCAAAGAACAAAATCCCCAGGCCCCAGACCACATCAATAACAGGATCCGCCACTGAAGAGACTCCCCACTGATGAGACTGGGCCCCCCTCAGAGCCCAGCCTCGGGCCTCCTGAATCATTTAGGCATTTATTGCTCTTTCTCAGCAACCACAGGGATCTATTCTGGAAACACTAAGGCAGGCAATTGGATGGCAGGGAAATGATCCCGTTGGAAAGAGCCCCCGAAGCCAAAATCACTCACATCACTCTCAGGGGTGACAGATTTTCCAAGGGGCCTGCAACTTTCCGATGCAGCATTTGAAAATAATCAGCCACACTCCTGGAAAGTGGCTTGCCTGGGAGATCAACATCGTTTTTCTCACCAGTGTTTACTTTTGCATTTTGATGAATGATGAAAACACCTTGGCAGTACTGAGATAGCCTTGGTTTCCTCATCCAGGCAGCTCCCTTGCCCTGGTACTTCATTCCAGCTCTCATCTATGGCCAGCAAGAAACAGAAAAACATCTTTTAGAAGGAGGGTCTTGCTGGGTTTTCGAGGGAGATCACTTGCTGTTTTGTAGCACAAAATGATGTTTAGAAGTTTAAAGTATGTTCAAGTCTACTAAAATCAACTTCATGGAAAATGATAGTTATTTTTAGAAACAAATTTTGAAAACAAACTAGCTTCCCTATTAAATGCTAATATTTCTCAAGTAGATAAAGTAACTAATCCTCAGGCCTAGGGTCGTTTTCAAAATGTGAAAGTACAATATCATGCATCTATGTGTGATGAAGTTGACCTTCACAGCACCAGAACTGGGACAGTCCCTCCACCAGATAATTTTGATGTGGAACATTCAAGTGCTCATTTTTGAAGCTTATCCCTCGTCCTCTGGCAGAAGCCTGAGTTACAGACATTAGTTAAAACGGGTACTGCCTCATTGAAGTAAGGAATTTTTTTTTTTTTTAAGCATCAAAGTCAGCTCTAATATCAGCAGGACTCCTAGATTTTCCTGGTTCAAAGCTCCTCTCCAGATGAAAATAAAAGAGACCAGGGAGCCTGAAATGATGCTTTCCTCAAAGCCCTGATCCCATCATTGACTTCTGCAGAAAAGAGAACTGGCAGTGGCAACTATTCAGGAGGTCTAAACACAGGTGCACATGTTGCCGAGACTGGTAATTATGACTTGTCAGGAAGCTTGAGGGGAACGTGTTGGTCAAAAGGCAAAAACAAAGGTCGCATACTGACCCAGAACTAGCAGACTAAAAGACTGCCCATGTAACCATCATGTTAAAGAAGGGCTCCAGGGCTGATGCCACAGCTACCCAGGATATCTCATTTGTATAACGTGCAGGATCACTAAACACTTCAGAAAACACCATAAAGGGGGAAAAGCAAGAATGTTTGTGTAAGGAAAACATTCCCTATTGAATCTGTTAATAGTTAAATGCTTTTGAGAGAGAAAGAAGCCAACAAGAAACTAACAGAGGGTTTCTTTTATTTAGACTTTCAAAAGACCTTGACAAGATCTCATACCAAATTTAGTCATCACAGATTCAGTAGGCGGCTTTATCATGTAAAAGGAACTGGCTCACAAGACAGAAACACCATGCAGGCAAATAACACATATCCCAGCGATGGAGGCTGAGATCATAAAAGGTTGGGGAGGGACAACACAGTGAAGTTGATAAATCCAGAGATGACATTTACCTCCTTTCAGTAAAGGAATTACCAAATTGATGAGGAAAAAAAAAAACACTAAAAAATGTGGAAGTTTGCATGACAGCAAAAAAAAAACAAGAAGAATAGTAAATGAGTTTTCTTTTATAAAATAAATTTAAATTTAACATATATAATGCAAATATATGTAAATTAATTATTTTCAAGTTATCTGTCATAAACCAAGAAAAAGGCCTGTATGATGTAGGGAAAGGAGGCATTACAGTAATTGCAGTTGTCGGCTGCTATGCAGAGGGAGCACAAAGACTGACATGACATTGTAGAAGACAGAGTAGTCAAATGAAATGATTAGAAACCACCTTTTGTTAGCTTCTTCATGCCTGGTACTATGTAATGGGCTTTCTTTATAATATGCCTGATTCTCACAGCAACCCTATGAATTAGGCATCATTATCTCCATTTAGATGTAGAGACTGAGGATCATGGAAATTGAGTACATCAACCAAAGTCAATATGGCACATAAGTGATTAAGCCAGGATTTTAATCTAGTGATGTCTTCTTCCATAGCTTGTACAGTCTCAGAAAGACAGTAGGAAGTGCAGGAGGGAAAATAAGTGGAAAGATAGAAATAGGTGGATAGATAGAAGACAGACAGACAGATAGACAGACTTCCCTACATCTATGTCTACTCATCTCCTCATAAGGTTCCCACACCCAGATATACACTCACTTTACTTCTTGCACCTCAGAAAGAGAAAAGGCACTAGGTAATCCCCTGAAACAGCACGCTTATGGAGAGTTCCATGGTGGGAGGGAGAATACTCAGAGAAAATATGACTTAAGCCTGTCAAGTAATAAAGGATAAAAGTAAAAATGCTTTCAGTGTTTTTCTGCACCTACTATGTATCAGGTCTGTACCAGAAATTTGTACATGTTATTTCTATGGAATCATCCATCATCAAGCCTCTTTTGTTACCCTCTGTTGAATCAGTGAGGAGTCTGAGACTTTGGAAGAGTTTATTACCTTGCCCCTTCCCCACATCAAGCATTCAGAAAACAACAAAGCAGAAATATAAACTATAAACAACAAAGCAGAAATATAAACTATGGAGACTCCTTTTACTTCACTAAGGACTAAGGCTAAAAAAAAAAAATGAATGTATAGTGTGTTATTCCTAAAAGGAATCACTGGATAAAAGTGGGTTCCAGAATAATTTATATAAATTCATAGACCAGAAGCCTATGAAGAGTTATTAAATGAGGTTAAGAAATCCAGGCATATTCATAATCTTCTAAGTTTAACTTCTTACCAGATCAGGGAAATGATAAAATTTTATCCTAAACTACTATAGGACAATGATAAAATTCTGCTGTGACCTCTCATTTGGTGATTTTGTAAACTATAATACTAGATCAGTAAGCTCAGGTCTACTCTGGAAGACAATTCTTACAGAAATGGAACCATTCAGCCAGAGGTGTGAGAACCAGGCTCTAGTCCAGTTCTCCTGCTAAAAGACCATGGTGAGATCCAAGTCTGATTAGTGACATCTCTGGACCTCACATGAAGGCCTAGAATGTTTGACCTTTAAGCTCCATTCCAGTTCAGCATTCTATGGAATCCTCAAAACCTGAAAGGGGCTGACTGGTCTAGCTCTCACATCTCCCATCCCACATCCACCCTTTAGGGGTGCTTCCATTGACTCTTGAAATGGCCGATTAAAAACATCATGATTGCAGATAATTTTAATTATTCTATACAGCAAAAAATCAAATCTCAGATCTGCATCTCCAGCCCAGCAAGGCTCTCAGCCACATCCAGATGTCCTGGGCCACCAGCCAGCCATGACTCTGTGGGTGCTCCATGGAGTCTTACCCAATTAAAAAAGTGAATCTGCCGGAACAATAACAATAGCAGCAATGAATGTCAAAGCTAAGGAGAAATTATTTTTAGATTTGCTATCTTAGATTATCTGCATTGCTGCTCACATCCACATGTCCTCAAGAAAAATGTCAACAAAGGGAAATCTGAGGACAGAAATGCCTAGAGACCGTGGGTGATTTCTCTTCTGCAGAAGGTGGGGTATATGAAAAGAAGGGTAAGATGTGTCTCATGAGGGAAGGATGTTTTGGAAAAGGTATAAATAAGGACGACTATATAGTGGATAAGACTATGGACTATTGGGGGCTAGATTGCTTGGGTATAAATCTGGCTATACTGTTAATTAGCTAGATGATGTTTCATTTCCTTAGGCCTCAATTTCCTCATCTATAACATGGGTATGGAGAGAGTCCACTAACCTTATTGCACTGTCACTAAGAATAAGTTAAATTAAATTTGCAAAGTCCTCGTGAGCATTGCCTGGCAGTCTCTTAAATGTTAGCTGTTATAGCTGATGTTATTCATCACTCGGAAGAGTAAGAACATCTGCTTTCTCCCTGGGGGAGGAAGGTGGCTTAGGCAGGCCTTGTGGTGTTTTCTTCTCTCTCTGTAACTTCTCCTCCTAGGGTAGAGTTGGATTTGAATCACTGAAGCTTTGAAAGTATCTGTTCTCCCTCCCTCTCCCAGAGAAAAGACTGAAACATACATTCCTAGAATTTGTGACAATACCTCCTAAAAACTCTAAGAGCAGAAACACGCCTTAGTCTCTTTTCCATTTAATTAGCCCCTTTGACTTGCTTTAGAGCACTTTTTTTAAATTTTATTGTGTAATTGACAAATAATTACACATTTTTATGGGGAACTTAGTGATGTTTTGATACATATAATGTATAGTGATATTGTATATCCATCATCTCAAGCATGTATCATTTATTTGTGTTGCGAACATTCAATATCCTCCTTCCAACTATTTGAAACTATATAAAATTGTTAATCACAGTCATCCTCCAATGCTGTAGAACATAAGAAATTCTATTTAGCTGTAATTTTGTATCCTTTAACAAAGGATCTGTTCCTAGCCCCCTTCCCCCTACCTCCCAACCCCTACTATCCTCTGTTCTGCTTTTTACTTCTTCTGAGTTCAACTTGTTTTAACTTCCACACAAATGTTTTTAAAACACGATGTACCTTGAGCTGCTAGGTATTGGTGCCATCAATGGGATTTGCTTGTCATTTACATTTCTGTGTGGTATGAACCTGGAGGAAGAACTGGAATATTTCTGTTTTTTTTTTTTTCTTCTGCATTCCCTTGTGCTCATCACGCTTCTCTAAGGAGATGAAGAGGAAGAAGTAGAGAACAGAGCAGAGGCGGAGAGAAGAGAGTTGTCCTGGCACTTCAGGAATCCTCCAAGAAAGCCAGGCATCTCTCTCATGTTCATAGCAAACAATAATTGGCGAAGAGGAGGCACTCAACACAGGTTTGTTACATTTGCTCAACAGCATGAAGGGTGGCCAAAAACTGAAAAGTGAATGATCTAAAACAGATGGGAAATGAATCCACCTCCCTCAGACCTACCCAAAACCCAACCCTACTCTTCCATTAGAAGACTGAAAACATCCATTTGAAAGTGCTGCCCTCAGATAGGATGAGGAAGAGCACAGAGTGACACGGAGAAATAAAAACCCTTAGAATTCTCCTCTCAAAAAGAGGTATTTTGCAGGGCATGGTGGCTCACACCTGTAATCCCAGCACTTTAGGAGTCCAAGGCAGATGGATTGTTGAGCTCAGTAGTTTGAGATCAGCCTGGGCAACAGGGTGAAACCCCATCATGTTAGCTGGGCATGGTGGTGTGTGCCTGTAGTCCCAGCTACTCAGGATACTGGAGTGGGAGGATTTCTTTAGCTGGGGGGTTCGAAGCTGCAGTGAGCCATCATGGTGCCATTGCACTCCAGACTGGGCAGCAGTCTGAGACCTTGTCTCAAAAAAAAAAAAAAAAAAAAAAGTATTAGCAAAAGCCCAACTCTTTGCATTCCTTCCAGTTCTTTCATCTGATTTTCCTGTTGCCCTTTGACCCAGGTTTATTGCTCTTTTACTCTAGGATATAACAACTATGAAGAAATTCCACTTCCAACATTGATTAACAGTGATTTTAAGAGCAAATAGTTGAGCTTACATTTAAAATTAAAAATTAATAAAAGAGAGAGCTCATTAATATCGATTGGAAAAATTAAACCTCCTCCTCCAGCTTGCATGACCTCAAATCTCTTTCCACCTCCTGGTTCTTCCATCCCAAAGGATTATGAGAAATGCAGCTGACCTGCACACTGTCACTGTTTTCCAAATGTTACTTGCAAATGAGTCACCGTATAATGCTTAGAACGAAACTGTGTTCTGATGGCAAATTTGGAATGTACTGCTAACTAAAAGTCAAGTTAGAACAAATACACGTCCCTTTTCTCACGTTGACAAAGCATTAATAAAAATGTTAGGGACATATTGTTCCTGATGCACCCAGGGAAGCCCTCCCACAAAGCATGTTCTGCTGCTTTAGTGCCTGCCCCAGAGCCTGGCACAGATCTGGGTGTCTACTTAAAACTAAACAAATGTGGATTATCTTGACCTGAGTGACCTTTTTTCAGGACCTGGGTCATAGAAAGTTTTGGATTCAGCCTCAGAATGCAGATTCCGTTCCTAACTTCCTGTGAGCAATACGTCCTTCAACAATCCCCTTTCCCTCCAACCTGAACTTTATTTTCCTCCTTAAAATTAGGAAGTTACATGAGATGATCCCTAAGGCCCTCACCTGCATTGTGTTTTTGTGATTCTGTGATACATCACAGAAGGCAACTTAGAAATGACAGAACAGGGCAGGCAGGAGAAGACAGAAGCGGGAACTAAAGACATTTCCTGCCATGGTGGTCTCAAGACTGCAGCAGACACTATACTCACAGCCCTATAGGACCCACAAAATAATAACTGGACTATAGAGGCACATGAGCTAAAACCCAGGCTTCTTTTGAAAGAGCACGTTGAGAGGGCAGCTATAGGAATTCTTGTCCAGGAGGCAGCAAAAACTGCACTCTTTTTCTGAACAAGTCAGTAAGACTTCCTTGTGAGGAGGACTGGGGGTGGTGGGCTGGGAATGGACCCATGAACTGTTGCGACCTCTCTGCAGCCACCATTCCTGGTCCAGCCTCTACCTTCCACCCGACTCCTCCTCCACGCGCAGGGCCAGAGCATGCGTACCCGACAAGCTCTGCCCTCCTGTGCCTCTCTTCTACAGGTGCCTGTGGGCGGGCTCGTGCATGGACAGTCCCAGCAATGCCACCGTGCCCTGTGGCTTTCTCCTTCAAGGCTTCTCCGAATTCCCGCACCTGAGACCCGTGCTCTTCCTTTTGCTGCTGGGGGTGCACCTGGCCACCCTGGGCGGGAACCTGCTCATCCTGGTGGCCGTGGCCTCGATGCCAAGCCGGCAGCCCATGCTGCTCTTCCTGTGCCAGCTGTCAGCCATCGAGCTGTGCTACACGCTGGTGGTGGTGCCCCGCTCCCTGGTCGACCTGAGCACGCCGGGGCCACCGCAGGGGCAGCCCTATCTCCTTCCTGAGCTGCGCCTTTCAGATGCAGATGTTTGTGGCTCTGGGCGGGGCCGAGTGCTTCCTGCTGGCCGCCATGGCCTATGACCGCTACGTGGCCATCTGCCACCCGTTGCGCTACGCGGCCGTGGTGACCCCCGGGCTGTGCGCGCGACTGGCTCTGGCCTGCTGCCTCAGGGGACTGGCGGTGTCCGTGGGGCTCACGGTGGCCATCTTCCACCTGCCTTTCTGCGGCTCCCGCCTGCTGCTGCACTTCTTCTGCGACATCACGGCGCTGCTGCACCTGGCCTGCACGCGGAGCTACGCCGACGAGCTGCCTCTGCTGGGCGCCTGCCTGGTGCTGCTGCTGCTGCCCTCGGTGCTCATCCTGGCCTCCTATGGCGCCATCGCCGCCGCCCTGCGCCGCCTGCGCTGCCCCAAAGGCCGGGGCAAGGCCGCCTCCACCTGCGCCTTGCACCTGGCAGTCACCTTCCTGCACTACGGCTGCGCCACCTTCATGTACGTGCGGCCCAGGGCCAGCTACTCCCCGCGCCTGGACCGCACCCTGGCGCTGGTCTACACCAACGTCACGCCGCTGCTGTGCCCACTCATCTACAGCCTGCGCAACCGCGAGATCACCGCCGCCCTGAGCAGGGTGCTGGGGCGCCGGCGGCCAGGCCAAGCTCCAGGCGGGGATCTGCGCGAGCTCTGATGGCAGGCCCGTACCAGGCAGAGGGGGCCGCTCCGCTCCGTAGAGTTTTCCCCATCATGAGGGGTCTGCATGGGGAAAGCCAACAAGGGGACTCAAGGACTGCATCCAGGAAAGAGAAAGCCTCCCAGAGGTTGCCCCATCCTCCACTCTTCCCTTGAATAGCTGGGATCACAGCTATTCGGGAGGCTGAGGCACGAGAATCCCTTGAACCCAAGAGACAGAGGTTGCAGTGAGCCGAGATTGTGCCACTGCACACTCCAGCCTGGGCAACAAGAGTGAAACTTCCCCTCCCTCCAAAAAAGAGAGTAGCATTACACAAAGCATTTTAATCCCCCAGTAGCTTGAAGGAAACCTTACTGTCATTGATAAAGTAAAGAGACATTAAGAGGAAGAATAATAATCCGCACTGTCTTGTAAAAATTAATGAGCAAATAAATTCACTTGACATAACTGTTTCTAAACAATGTTACACTAACATATGCGAGTATGTCAAAGAGCACAAATTGGCACAAAACTTAAGTACAAATGTAAGTTATACTAGGAAAATTCCAGAATTTATTTATTCATCCATATTTGCAATAAATACTTGTTGATTGAATTCCATGCCAAGAACTAGACAGTTAAGAATTCAACAGTGATCAAGATGCCACTGTATTCCTAGCACCTATGCAAATTATTGGTAGTGATGAGGTGGGTGGGAGAGATGCTGTGTGTGTTGCAAATATTAAGAGGTTGTGCTAGAGGAACAAATAGAAACCAGGTCTTGCAAGCCTTGTAAGGGATGACAGATAGGTTTCTGTCCTGGAAAAGATGATATATTGGGCTCACTGAGATGGAGAGCACAAGGAAAGCAACCAGTGTGAGGGAAGGACAAGGTGGAGTTGATGAGTTCACTGTTGATTATGTTGACAAGGGGTAGCACACTCAGCAGTCTATGTGATGTGCGTCAGGAGAATCTGGGTAGAGAAATGCCGATGTTAGAGACTGGCATGGCTGATAGAATTCACCAGCATGTTAGAGATTGGCATGGCTGGTAGAAGTCACCAGCATGTTAAAAACTGGCATAGCTGGTAGAAGTCACCAGCATATCTGAGATTTGCATGGCCGAGATCTCCCAGAATGAGCAAGTGCAGTTAGAAGAGCAGCTTCAAGATAAGACAAGGAGCATTAACATTAAAAAAATGAACTGACTTTCTAAGCATAACACAAAACATGAAATTTATTATGTAAAAAATAACCCAAAGCTTTCTCCATGGGATGCCGCTTTAAGCAAACCAAAAAGAGAAAAGAGAAACTTGGAAATTCACATGTAATGAATGAAAGAGGCTCATTTCATTAATACATATAGAGCTCTTAACGATTAATAAGAAAAAGATAACTCCAAAAAATGGGCAAAGTTATGAATAGACTGTTTGTAGAAAAGGAAATGTAAATAGCCCTTACACAGCGGAAAGGTTTCAATCTCATTCATAAGAGAAAGCAAAATAAAATTATAAAGTTGTCAAATTAACAACACTGAAAGATGACTAACACAGAGCAGGAAGGTGAAACAGGCTCTCTTGTATGTTATTAATGAGAGTATAAATGTATACAATTTCTATACAGGGAAAGTGGATGATATTAATTAAAATAAATGGCATGTATTATTTGTTTCAATGTACTTCCAGGGTTTGACCCTACAAATTTATTTGCTTTGTGGGAAAATATGAATGTTCAAAAATATTCATGTCAGCGTTACTTGGATTATCAAAAATCTAGTAATTTCTTAAATATCAATCAATATGTGACCAATTAAATGCATTTTGGTTTATCCCTGTGATGGAATTCTATGCAGCTGCTGAGAAGAATGAAACAGTTTTATCTATGGCAGGTGTGGAACCAGGTCTCATAAAAGTTGTTAAATGAAAAAAGCAAAGCATGTGATTATGTGTATTAAGGAGTCATCCCTCATTCTACTCTTGTCTTCTGGCACATCTCACATTTTCCCTTGTTATTTCCACTCCTGGAATGCTCTTCCCATAGATCTTCCCAATCTGGCTTTTTGTCATTCAGATGCTGTCTCAACTCAAATATTGACTCCTCAAAGAGGCCTTCGTTGAACACCCCATGTAATGTTGCCTCTCCACCCCCTCTCACATTATCATGCTTTAATGTCTAATCATCTGTCATTACTGGAAATCATCTTACTTGCATTTCTACTGCTAATTGCCCATTCCTTCCAACATAAACTCTGTGAAAGGCCATCTGCTTCACTCACCATGGTATTCCCAGTTCCTATCAGTGTCTGGCATGGAATAGAGTCTTAAAAAATTGTTGAATGAATGAGTAAATAAATCAAGGTTTATGGTATGCTAGCATTTATGAGCAAAAATATTTAATTGTAGCTGGGTGCAGTGGCTCATGCCTGTAATCCCAGCACTTTGGGAGGCCACGGCAGGCCAATCACCTGAGGTCGGGAGTTCAAGACCAGCCTCACCAACATGGAGAAACCCCATCTCTACTAAAAATACAAAATTAGTCAGGTGTGGTGACACATGCCTGTAATCCTAGCTACTTGGGAGGCTGAGGCACGATAATCGCTTGAACCCAGGAGGTGGAGGTTGCGGTGAGCAGAGATTGCACCGTTGCACTCCAGCCTGGGCAACAAGAGCGAAACTCCATCTCAAACAAATATATATATATATATATACACACATACATACACACACATATATATACACATATATATACACACACATATATACACATATATATATATACACACACTTATATAATTGTATGTGCATGTATGTGTCTGTATATTTCCTATGTGTTCTCTACGTGTGCATGTATACACGCAGATAAAGACACACATATTTCTGCCAAAGTAAAAGTTTGGAGACTGGGGAATAGAGGTGGGATAAACCTACGTTTTTCATCGAATACCTTCCTTACATACATGTATGTGTCAGTTATTCAATAAATGCTTTTCAAATAAAAATACAGGATAGGCAGAGGAAGGGGAATACCCAACGGAGTTTTTTTTAAAAGAGCAATCAGAGAAGTAGAAGAAAATCAAACATATTGTGGTGTCATGGAAACCAAGAAAGGGAATTTCAAGGATGGAGTAATCAACAGTGCCAAAATGATACTGCGATTTCTAGAATAGTATGACTGGAGCCAAAGATGGCTTTTAAGATGCCTACTCCAACCCAGAAAGTACTGAATTCACCTGTACAAACCTCAGCGGTGCATGTGCAAAGGTCTACTGACCAAACAACAAAACACACATACAGAAATGCTGTCTAGCCAGAGATCATATAATGACTGCCACACTCCATCCAGGGTTAAAAGAACACAGAGAAGCCATTCAAATCTGTGTAATCAACTGCTGGAATGGGAAATAACATTGTCTTTCATTTTAAATGCTGAAATATTTAACACTGTTTCAAGATTTGTACCCAGATTTGTTTTAATCAGGTAGGGTAAAGTGACAGACACAGAAACAGCTGCCTTTGAAAGAACAGTTTATTACTCACAGTTCCTAAGAGGGGGAGGCAAGCTGTGTCATGCAGGGCCACGTGGAGAGGCATACTGTCTCTTTCTGTCAGGAGACAGAAAAAGAAAGGGAAGACCATGCCCGAGAGACTTGATTGTGGTTTCTATGGGAAGAAATGAGTGAGTGGAGTAGAAAACTTAAGGAAGTCTAAGATAGGATAGTTTGAATAATTTCAGCAGGCTCTGGATGACATGCGTGGTATCTAGTAGTCCAAGACCTCACCCTGGGGTGATTAGGGTGGGGAAAATGTTGACTTGGCATGTGAGAGTTAGATAAAGGAGGTGACTGAGTATATGAGCTCTGGATTGGTTGGTTTGCATCTTAATGACATTCTCACAGGGGACACATTTGCCCCTTCTTCTAAATTCCCACTTGTCCAGTTATCCCAAAGCCTGGGAAAGTATTCATTTACCAGGAACTGCAAACTCTTGGTGATCTAGCCACTTCCCTTCAGCTGAAAGTTGCCACTTCATAGGGACAGAATCTATGCAGTTAAAACAATGGGAACTTTCCCTTCTTAAAGATGTTTGCATACCTAGGAACTAGTTAGCACTGACAGGAGCAGTCTCTCCCAGCCAACAAGGCCTCCAAGATGTTGAAGCATCATAAAACATAGAAAATAAAAAACATAATCAATACACACAGTCCCAAAATGATATGTAAGACAGTGTGCATGGAATAAATTTTTTCTGTAACCCTTCAACTGGACCATCATTAATTCGAGCTGTCTTTCTATAACAAATCCCATCATGGGTCTGAAAACAATGCCTCACCAAATCCTCTCTTCACCACAGCCTCTTACTTCCCAGCTCTCATTTATTTGCTCTGAGACCATCCCTTGTCACCTTCATCAACAGCTTCAATCCTTTGGCCCAGATGTTCTCTCCACCTGTGTGCCACCTAAATGAAGCTCCTTCACTTTCTTTCAAAATCAAGATCTCTCAGACTAATGTTTAATTATTTGAGCCAACACTCTCAACTCCATTGTCTGTGTTCTACACACCCAATTTACAAACCTCAATCCGATTTTCTGACATCTCTAATACAAATCTGTGAGTGCTCAATACTTCTGAAGACAAATCTCATTACTCTATAACAGGGCCACTATAATTCTGTAGGATCCAAACTCAGACGGGCCTCATCCTCTGCTGCCCTGCTATACTGCTATATCAGTGGGCTCCTTCCTTGGCTGCATACTGGAATCACCCAAAGACCTTTAAAACTACTGAAGTCTGAGCCTGACACCAGAGATTCTGATTTGCTTAGTGTATTATTCCATTTTCATACTGCTATAAAGAGCTGCCCAAGACTGGGTAATTTGCAAAAAAAAAAAAAAAAAAAAAGAGGTTTATTTGACTCACAGTCCAGCGTGGGTGGAGAGGCCTCAGGAAATGTGCAATCATGGTGGAAGGTGAAGGGGAAGCAGCAGGCATCTTCTTCATAAGGTGGCAGGAAGAAGTGCCAAGAGAAGAGGAAAGAGCCCCTTATAAAACCATCAGATCTTGGGAGAACACACTCACTATCACGAGAACAGCATGGGGGAAACCACCCCCATGGTTCAATTATCTCCATCTGGTCCCTCCCTTGGAGAGATTATGCGGATTTGGGGGATTACAATTCAAGATGAGATTTGGGTGGGGACACAAAGCCTAATTATATCACTTGGTCTTGGTGTAAGTCAGGCATTGGGGTTTTCAACAACTCCCTTTAGGTGATTCTAAGGTGTAGTCAAGGTTGACAGTCACCGCCCTCTAATCATTACTCCAGTCCTTCACAGTGGAAGAGGCTACCCTGCTTCTGCTTAAATTTAACCCTCCTTGAGTTCCAGATCTCATCTTCACCTACCTCCTCAGAGAGCTCATACATTATTTACCACTACTATCTCCCATGCTTAGAACCCAGGTATATGAACATCTTTAAGGTAGGAAAGTTCCAATTATTCTAATTGCACAGGTTCTTTTTCTTGACATAGCAACTTTCAACTGAGGGGAAGTGGCTAGATCACCGAGTTTGCAGTTCCCAGTCAATGAATACTTCCTACAGAAGGTGGGTAACTGGACAAGTGGACAGTTAAAAGGGGGCTGTAGGGAGGGAACTAGAACACCACTATCCAGAAGGAAAAAAGAAAAGGTGAAGTAAATGTGGAAAAATACTTATTAAAATTTAATGAAATTTCTCTGCATATAAGACCATTTCCCACATCTAAGCTGAGGCTCACTTAGAGAAGTAATATTTGTGTAGCCCTTTGGGGGGCAACATTTCTCCAAGATATTTGAGTTGTAGGTAACAGCTAAGCCTTTATATTAAGCCTATTAATGACTTAAGTCTTTGCCTGGAGCTTCTGAAGTACCAGTCCCACATAGTGGAGATTAAGATTTTCTATGATCCTCCTGACAATGGACAAATGTACCTCCTTCATCTTACAATGGGAGGGGAGGCCTCCTAACCACACAATCTCCCTTAATCCAGCAGTTGGATCCCTCAGCTGCTCCTGGTGGCCATCTTCCCTGCAGTGTCTGCCTCCTCCCCTGGCTGTGCCTGATTGATGGGTCTTACTGACTCACCATGGAGGTCCATGTTATCTCCAGCCTTCAGCTGCTCCCGAAAGCAGTTGCTGCCTTCTGGGAAACAATCATGAAAGTGAATTTAATCCATCTTGTCTCATTATCATTAAAGCACACATCACAAAGGGAAAAGTAAAGTGCCTCACCTGAACGTTGCTGGAGCACAGCACCTGTAGAGGCAGGGCTGGGCCTCGGAGAGAAAAGTGGCAGTGCCGTAGCACAGGGGCATTGAGCCAGGCTACCTGGATCTGGATTCTGACCCCTGAAGTTCCTGACTGTGACCTTGGACAAGTTCCTCTAACCTCTCTGGGCCTCTGAGTCTTCAGTGGATAAGCTGGAGTTGACATTAGCACCTGCCTCACAGGGTTGTGATAATCACAGCTAATATAGGAAATATGCTTAGAACAGTGCCTGGCACTGTTAGCTACTATTAGTAGGGCATTATTAATAGCAGATGTTTTCCGGTAGGCAGAATCAGTGCAGAAGTCCCAGAGCTGTTCTAAGCAAAGAAAATCACTAGCTTTATACTGCAGGCCCCATACCTTGAAAGGACACACCTTGGAAGAAAAATGGGTATATATTTGGTAGGGCCTGGGCAAGGGGCTTGCTGGTTGGAACAGCAGGAAAAGAAGAAACCAGGTTTCCAGTCTACCTTTTCCACCTCTGCTTGTGTGGGTTCTGGGAGGGTTTCTCTCCAAGACCTCGTATCTTTGCTACTGTTGTTGTCCCTGGACAAATTGGGGATCCCGAGGTGGCTGTGATTTTGTTTTGCTGAACTGCCCTCTGGCTCTCTTTCCTGTACATTGGGAAATTCTGAGATGGGAAGACTAGTAAAGTACTTGGAAAGGCTAAGAACTGGCTTAGAAGTAAAGTTGAAGTTAACAGGGTCAATGAGAATTTTGGTGGCTTTTTTAAAACTTACATCCCTTCAGAGTTATTTAAACAGAAAAAATCATTTATTAGGGAAAGACCCACAGAATCTGTAGGAGGACAATAGAGTTGGGCAAAGATGAAGCCAGGAACCAAGGCACAGCATATAGAGGGACTGCTCTAGTGAAGACGCCACAGTTCCGCTGCTAGTGACCAACAATATATGATGTTGGGGAGTCAGATACCAGACCCTCAGCCCTGAGAAGCTCAGTGCTCCATCACATCCTTCTCTCCATAAGATGCCTGCCTCAACACATGACCCTGTCCAGGAGCAGAATCATGCATAGGCATCTAAGTGAGGAAGCCTGAGTTACTGGGAAGGAGTCAGCTGTAATGGGGAAAGGGATTTCAGGACATCAAAGATGTCTGGGTGATTTTTAGGAAGGCTTGCAATGTGGTGTGGGAGGAGCCCTCCCTCTCTCACCCCTCAACCTCCACATCAAAATCAATTACCCGTCATTGCACTGGGACTTATGGCCCATGACGGATGCAATTATATCCTGGCCACAAGGCTAGGGAAGGAAGTCTAAGGAGGTTCAGTCATAATGTGATTATGTTCACAAAATATAGGCCTATTTTCAGCTTTACCTAATGCCACTATTAAACTTGAAAGTCATTGGACTTTGGCAAAATATTTTGCTGCATGAGTAGTTGAAATTAAAAGCTTCAGCAAAAGAAATTTACTCCCAAATTATTTAAACCATTTTACCCAGAATATTCCTAGAAAACTATGTTATCAAAGAGTACAACATGATATCGTTCATTGTATTTTCCTATAAGGACAATATGATAGAAGGTTGGTTTTCTGACTAAAACTTACCATTAAATTAATCCTCTATATGGCCAAAAATACACCAAAATAAAAGTATTATCAATCTTTGAAATAAAGTAGTGAAATAAGTCTAATTCTTTAATAAAATCTGTATAAGCAGTACTATTCTTAATGCAAGTGTCCCAATCATAAAAAGCACATATAGATCCTAAAAAATTTAACTTGGTATTATAAACTTAACTATTTTTATAATAGGTTAGATTTACTAATCTTTTATAAAGTCTAGATTGTTTTTCGTAGAGAGAACTTTAGAATAAATGTTTAGACAGCCTAGATACCTTAAAATTGTTTGTTAAAGATGTTTGAAATAGATATTTTCTTTTCTTTTTTTTTTTAGATGGAGTCTCACTCTGTCAACCAGGCTCGGGTACAGTGGTGTGATCTCAGCTCACTGCAAACTCTGCCTCTTGGGTTCAAGTGATCCTCCTGCCTCAGGCTCCCAATCAGCTAGGACTACAGGTGTGTGCCACCACACCTGGCTAATGTTTGTACTTTTAGTAGAGAGGGGATTTCACCACGTTGGCCAGGCTGGTCTCAAACTCCTGACCTCAGGTGATACACCCGCCTCAGCCTCCCAAAGTGCTGGGATTACAGGTGTGAGCCACCACACCCACACTTCTTCTTCTTTAAACATTTCTTTGATAAGCAGAAACCTTCAAAATCATTCTACTGATCTTAATGCTACCTCAAACTAGCAGAGCAGAATTTTAAATCTATGTTTCATGGTGGCTATATTAATAATGATTATAGTGCTTCTCCCACCACAACTCAAAAAACTAAAAAACTCTAAAATCTAACCAGTGTCATATATAAAGCTTAGAGTCAGACCTCTGTCTCCATTTAGGAAATACTTGACATTGAGCCAGGCTTGTGTGGCCTAACCCAGCCCCAATTCTCTCCTTCCTCAAATGAAATAATATCTATGAAATTTCTTGAAATTAAGCACTGTACAAACATAAATTATTTTTATTTGTGGAAAAAGAAGTGGAACATTCTCCTAGCAAGATGAGAGCTGGAGAGTCATCTTTATTAAGGGAGCTGGGAGAATTTCACTGGATTCCTTTTCATTTGACTTAGAGGTAGATGGAGAGAGGAAGGAGGTCTGTAAGGCAGTTTCTCAGTCAGCACCCCTCACTTTCCTTCTCCATCTTCAAGACAGCTGCTGTATATTCACTATCAACAGGAACAAAGACAAGATGAAAAAGGGCTCCTGTGCCTCTGAACAGCTTCTGGACCTCAATTTACTCTTGGATAATCATTTCTGGCCCCTACACTCACTACCCTCTTTTGACCTCCCTCTGGCTCCAGTGTGCCCATGTCCACCCTACCTGGCCAGAAGATGGCTTCCTGAACTGGACTCTATCGTCACCTTTGTAGAGGGCTTAACCCAGTAGCCCTCTACAGGCTACAGTCAGCTTCCAGGATGTGAGGGAGCACTGAAACTTTCTGCATTTATTGCAAAGCTTGAGGAATAGTTTCAATTAACAGAGCTTCTAAAAAGGTGCTTCCAAAATATCTCTCACAACCTACCAAGGATGGCATAAAACACTTCAGGTTTGAGGCAGAGAACTGTTGGAACAGTTTGTATTTTGCGAAGGAGAAAAATATGAAAATGTTCAGTTTACAAGGCACAGCAGGATAGAAGTAAATGTGTGAGGAAATAAAAATTAATCTCTGTTTCTAGCATTGGCTTGACTGGCACCTTTCTTCTAAACTCTTCAAAGCATTTCAACATAAAAATATCTACTATTCACTGAGGGCTTATCATGGACTGGACACTGTGCTAAGTGCTCTGCATGGATCGTCTCATTTGATCTTCACAAAAGCCCGTGAGTCAGGTATTACCATCCTCCCCATTTTACATCAGAAGAAACTGAGGCAGTAGAGACTTTAACTTGCCCATTGCTGCAAAGGCACAAGGTAGGAACAAAGATTCAGACTTGCACATTCAGGGTCTAGAACCTACACCTTTAGCCACCAGGCTATGCAGCCTCCAGAGGGGTCTTGGTGGGCTAAGTAGATGAAACAACCTCCGCTACACAGAGTGCATGTGATACTGAAAAAGATTTGAAAATCTTGCGAAAATATCACAGCCACGATGGAATTCCCAGGTCCCAGACCACAAGATCTCAAATCTATTGTAGAAACTAAGGGGAACTGGTTTACTGAACAAGCTGAATTCACAAACTGTAATCAGAAAAGTGCTGTGTTCTTTCTCATCTCCATACACTCAAACCTGCACTATGGGGCTAGTCCTTCTCTGTGCCTTGGACTAAATCCATAACAAGTAGCATGAATGTTCTAGTTCCTCCCAAAAAATCAAAACGTTTTCATTCGCCTTAAGTCCCCAAAACATTCTCACTGCAGTCTTAAAAATATCCAGCCCAAGGTAAAATCAAACCTCTAAACCTTGTTTTAAGATAAAGCTTCTTCTGACTCCCAACCCCAAAAGCTTAAAGTGGGGAATGTTGGCTTCTTCTCTCTTCTCTAACCTTCCTAGCTTCCTCACCTCCCTCCCCTGCCTGGCCCCCACTAGACTGCTTCTGACTCCTCATGGGTTAGAGCAGGGGACAGAGACAGGTAAGAAGCAGAAATGTTCTTGTTGATGTGCAGTGGGGGAAGCACTTGGAGAGCAAGAAGGAGATCAGACTCAAGAAGACAAGAGAAAGTATAGAGAACAAAGCTGGAGGATCTTTAATCATGAATTAACCCCAGGGCAACCTGGGATGGGAGTAAGAAAAGAGATTAGAATCTGTGTTAGTTTCCCATTGCTGCTGTAACAAATTGCCACATATTTGTGGCTTAAAACAACGTAAATGTATTCTCTCACAGTTCTGGAAGTCGGAAGTTCAAAATCAATTTTACTGGGCTAGGGTCAAGGCATTGGCTGGGCTTGTTCCTTCTGGCAGCTTCAGAGGAAAACTCATTTCCTTGCCTTTTTTCAGCTTTTAGTGGCTGCTGGCATTCCTGGGCTTGTGACCTCTTCCTCAGGTCATTCTAACTTCTTGCTTCTACCTTCACATCTCTTGGCCTTTGGCGTGGGCTGCCAGTCATCCTGTTCCATTCAGCTCTTCATGGATACAGCCGACTGGGGCTGTGGATGTATGTGGGCAGGGGAGGGAATGAAGAAATGCAGCCAGGATAGGGCACACCGCAGCACCAAGCAGCTACAACATAATCAGATTGTGAGCATTAAACAGAAGGCATGTGGAGTAGTTTTCTAAAGCAGCCTGTTCGATTCTTTGTAAAAGGCCCTTCACGGTTTCCCCAGCTTGATATGGGCTTGGCCCTAAAGAGAAGACGGAGGCAGAAAGATCTGATGCTGGTGTTCCTGCCTCTCTCTCTAAAGACCCTTGTGATTATATTGGGCAAACCTGGCTAACCCAGGATAATCTCCTCATCTCAAAATACTTAATCACCCCTGCAAAAATCCCTTTTGCCATAGAAGATAACAGTCATAGACTTGGGAGATTAGGACAGAAGGTGGACACATGTGCAGGGCCATTATTCAGCCTATAACCAGGTCCAAACTGTTAGGGAAAAATTGAGGCAAATGCTTAGGCCTGGAGGGGAGCCAGAAGGCTCTAGAAATAAAAACGAGTCAGCTTCCTTAACTCAAGGCCAGGAAGCAAACTCTATCTAAAGAGCAGGAAACACCCAGCCAGAACTCTTTTCTCTGCTCCTTTTGAGTATTAAGACACGTCATTTTGCTTAATTCAGTCATGGAAAAGATCTTGACAGCAGAAAGACACTGCTTCTGCTTTTGCAAACCTCTGTGTGGAATTCCACAATGCCAGAGCATAAAGAGACCTTTGCCTTCTTCCATTGCAACCACTTTTTTTTTTTTTTTTTTTGAGATGGAGTCTCACTCTGTCTCCCAGGCTGGAGTGCAGTGGCATGATCTCAGGTCGCTGCAACCTCCACCTCCCGGCTTCAAGTGATTCTCCTGCCTCAGCCTCCCAAGTAGCTGGGACTACAGCAGGTTCGTACCTCCATACCCAGCTAATTTTTTGTATTTTTAATAGAGACGGGGTTTCACCATGTTAGCCAGGATGGTCTCCATCTCCTGACCTCGTGATCTGCCTACCTTGGCCTCCCAAAGTGCTGGGATTACAGGCGTGAGCCACTGCACCTGGCCGTTTGCAACCAGTTTCTTTTAGAAAGGAATGTGAGAGGCAGCATGGTCTAGTGAAAAATGCCCAATATTTGAAATTTGACATCGGGTATATCCCAATTTTCATCTTGGCTGGCTCTTTACCAGTTGTCTACCTCTGGCCCAGTCTGTGTCCACCTTGTAGAACTGTTCTGAATGTGACAGAATAACATTTTCTTTTCCTCACTCCTGAGACATGACACAGATTCTGTCCCATCTTTACAGCCGAGCCCGTATCAGGCTGGGGAAACTGAGAAGGGCCTTTCAAAAAGAATCAAATAGGCTGCTTTAGAAAAATATTCCACATCGGCCAGGTGCGGTGGCTCAAGCCTGTAATCCTAGCACTTTGGGAGGCCAAGGTGGGCCGATCACCTGAGGTCAGGAGTTCAAGACCAGCATGGCCAACATGATGAAACCCCATCTCTACCAAATATACACAAATTATCCAGGCATGGTGGCGGGTGCCTGTAGTCCCAACTACTTGGAGGCTGAGGCAGGAAAATCACTTGAACCCAGGAGGTGGAGGCTGCAGTGAGCCAATATTGTATCACTGCATTCCAGCCTGGTTGACAGAGTAAGACTCTATCTCAAAAAAATAAAATAAAATAAAATAAAATAAAATAAAATAAAATAAGAAAAAGAAAAGGAAAATATTCCATGTGCCTTGGGTTTAGTGCTCAGAATCTGATTACCTTGTAGCTGCTTGGTGCTGCGGTGTGCCCTGTCCTGGCTGCGTTTCAGCAGGACGAGCTGAATAATGAAGAGAAGAGATGCCCAATTCTCTGTCCAAGATGGACACCATATGGAGAATTGCAGGCACAAGGATAACACTTAGAGAAAAACAGATCAATCTATATTTTCTTTATTAATTCCAAATTTCTGAAGCCCTGAGGCACCTACATCAAAACCCACAACCTTTGGATTTGAACACTGAGATTTTGATAAACTAGGGAACTCAGGATATGACATAAGGGAAATCTTCCATTTCATGAGAGGGCAAAACCTTCTCTTTCTGACACAGACTTGGGAATAAATAAAGGAAGAGAAAGGTAGAAGAAGCAGACATTCAAATATATGTGTTCTAAACAGCCCTCCAAGGGACTGAGGCCCTGAGGATGAAGAGATAGGATAAGAAGAGGCCAAAGGTGGAAATACTTTCCTGATCCCCATTTAGAGCCCTACCAAGAGACTGTTGTTCAGGGTGACCTAGAAACTCCAAAGATGTTGAGGGACGATAGAAAAGCAGCAGTGAAAGAGGATGGCAGGCAAGCCAATCTGAGCATGCTCCTGGCTCCCTAGAATATGGAATTCATGCCTCAAGTTCCTGTTTGTCTCGAATGGGAGGTGCAGATACAGGAAGCAGCTGGGAGCTCAACCAAAGAACATGCCAGAGGGGATCAGCTTGGTGGAGAAAATGTGGCCATATCACTGAGAGCTACAGAATGGACTTCCCAACTCAGGGCTCCAGAAGAAATCAGTCATGTCTGGGAGGTGATGTGTGTGTGTTTGGGGGAATCACAGCATTGGAAAACCAGAAGTGGGACCATTTCAACAAGAAGATGGCCACCAAGCCTTGACAAAGCCAAGACAACAAACAGTCCATGGGTTCCTTGGCCACAGCCTCCAACAGTGGATGACACAGGTTGGATCCACATAAACTATGTCTCAACAGAAACCTGCCACGTGAATAAGCAAAGATTCGAGTGGTTGTCCAGCTGCAGAAGCCAGCACCAGGACCAGCACAAAACAAGAGTGATTCTACATATCCATTCAAAGCCCCACAAGTCAGTACTATCAGGTTTTGTCTTATGCCCAGAAGCCCTGTTGATAAGGAAGAAAAAGAAATATACCACTCTGATATAAGGTAGAACTTCAAATTAATTAAATATTTACCTGGAAAGATCATTTTAAGTTAACAGAGACCATTTATACTGTAAAAAAACTAAGATACCTTTAATTGGTATATTATATTGTTTGCTTTTTGTCTTCTTTCTACAGTACCCAACAGAATGGAGACTCAAGAAAATAATATCATTATAGAAAACAAAATAGCTACGTCTTCAGGGAACATCAGTAAAGAGTATTCAAATTCATTATCCTAGCATATAGACAAGTTGATCTTGAAGTAAAAATTGTCCTGGACTTCATGTTTGCACTTGTAATTTATTAAGGAAAGACTTCTTTTCTAGAAATGGAATGCATAATGCCCGTTCAATGTTAATACATAATAAGGAAATTATGTAAAGTTTCAATTAGATGATTCTTATAAAGCTTTTAGTATTCATTGAATTTTAGTTACTCATCCTCATTAAGTGTTTTCCCCTAAGTCATTTATGAGAAAAGACCAAAGCATAGAAATGCCACTTTAAATTTTTCCTACATGTAGAGATAGGAAACAGAACAGTATTCTAACTCAGTCATGCCAGAGCTAATTCATGATGAGTTGTATCCGAGGCTGTTGAAGCTGCTGTCAAGCATAGCAGTCATCAGTTCCGGTAAAATGCTTCCCAGAAGGTACCTTTTACATTCACTGGGAAAGATGAGGAAACGTTAATTCTGGTAAAAATGGAATGGAAAGAACTGAATGGAAAGGTTAGTAACTGAGAACCAGAAATAGTAGTTCCCTGGGAGTGAACTAAATTATTGCTAGTAACAGGAAACTCTTGAGGCAAGGAGATACTGGGGTGGGGAAGGAGAGAGTAGGAAAGTGGTTAGTGGTGGGGCAGTTCCAAAGGAGTGAAAGAGGGGAAAGACCCAGGTGAGCAGCATGCCTGGGCCCACACAGATATCACAGGAAATCAATTATGTCCAAGGCTGTGGGTCTTTCATTGCCTTCTTTAGTGAAACTCCTGGTATTGGTCAATCTCAAAGGAAATGATTCTTCCCCTCTCAAGTCCAGTTTGGAACTCATGATGGAATGACTTTAGTCTCAGACCTCAGAATCTAGTACCTAGAATGAAAGGAAAATGTTGTAATGCACACACTGAAAAACACAGACTTCTGCAGGACCTTGAGGTCCAATTCCACCATTTGGTTTCACAAACAAAGAAACTAAGACCCAGGGAGATTAGGTGACTTGTCAAAAGTCATAGAGCAATTTGTACCAAAGCCGGAGTAAAACCCATTGTCCTGCCTCTAGTCCAGGGTGTTTGCCACCATAGAATATTTCCAGATTTATTTTTTATGGTATAAATAGTCGAAAACCTATAGTTATATCTACTTTGCTGAGATACAGTTTTAATTGTATCTTTCCTTGAATGCTCACTTATGTTGCCCAAAGGCTATTCAGTAGTGCCAGGCATTAAGACAGCAAATTCATTTCCTAATATCACTATCTCAATGCGATACGTCTATATCAGATATGTGAATTTTTTAAATTTCATTTGGATTCCTATGAGAGAAAAAATATGTGTTTATTATAAACATTTAAAAATATTTGTAACAGTTTGTTCTCTCATTGTTATAAAGAACTACCTGAGACTGGGTAATTTATTAAGAAAAGAGGTTTAATTGACTCACAGTTCCACAGACTGTTCAGGAAGCATGGAGAGGAGGCCTCAGGAAACTTATAATCATGGTGGAAGGCGAAGTGGAAGCAGGCACATCTTACACGGCCAGAGCAGGAGGAAGAGAGACAGCGGGGAGGTGCCACACACTTTCAAATAACCAGATCTTGTGAGAACTTAACTCACTATTGGAAAACAACAAGAGGGAAATCTGCTCCCATGATCCAATCACCTCCCACCAGGCCCCTCCTCCAACACTGGGGATTACAGTTTGACATGAGATTTGGGCAGGGACACAAATTCAAGCCATATCAATATTGATAAGCTAAAAATAAGAAAACAAAAATATCTATAATCCTATCACCCAGAGATTAACCCACTGACATTTTATGGTCATCTTGCCTGTTCTTTTTCTACTTTTCAATCTTTATATACATCCAACTGTATATATATTATATTTCCTACTATTTTCTAACCTACTTTGTAAAAAAAAAAATCTAGTTACATATTTTCTGTAACCTTAGTGCTTGGAAAAGTAAGAAGGATGCATTTTTCTTTTTTACCAGCAGGGAAACATTCTTATTAGATGAGAGTAGGAGGTAGTGTGGAGGATGGTTCCCAACAGTTCTTTTCCTTTACACTGGAGTCATCTGTGTCAGCTCATACCGAGTCTGCCTTTGAAGTGCATCAGGGGTCCCACCTCTCAGATGTCATTTTCTTCTTCTTCCCCCTCATGGTGCCCTTGGTTTTCTTTTTACTGCTGCTCTCCTCCTTAACCTTTGGCTACAACTCTCAGTCAGAAGTTCTAGCAGTTTTCTCCATCCACAGACCTTGAGGTGGGGAAAGCTTCAGGCCCTGTGAGGTCCTGAGCTTACCTGGGCAGTGGAAGCAGCAAAGATAAACCCAAGATTCTTCAGGTCTTGCCCAAAGGGGAAGAGCATGAAGTTAAACAACAGTTCCCTAGTCCATTGTCATTACAATGACAAATCTTCCAGGTAAGTAAACCTTTATCTTGCAATATTGGCCAATTGTTATAAAAAAAATTTAGTGGGTTACACACTGATGTCTCTCTTTTTTCTCCCCATTTTACCAAAGACTCATGTTCTATTACTATAGAAATAAATAGTTAAATATTGGGAATAAAACCTCATCCTGACCCATTGTTTCCTCTGCTCCTTCTAGTAATTCCAGTGAAGAAATTAAAACTTTGTGGAAGATGGCCAAGAACCGGGAGATCAGTATTAGGAAAGCTGATAAAGAAAAAACTTCTAGTAATATGAAAATATGCAAAGGAAACACAACAGGAATGTGATGTGGGAGACCATCAAAGAACCTGCAGAACTATTTTAATGACTGTGAACTTGAGACTTCTCAATGGCTCCCAGGCCATGGATGTGATGATTCTAATGTGCGATGTGTCCTCACCACTCTAAAACTAGATGTCACTGTCACTAAAACTAGGTGTGTGGGAGGAGGGGTGAAGGTGCTTTCATTTTCTTCCTTTAGGAAGGAGACCAGGTTCTAAAATTTTAGTTTCTCTTTCCTATCTCAATTACTTTCAGTCCCTTCTCACCAGGTCAGAAAAGTAAATGTTTCTGAATCCCAACTTCTACTAAAAGTCCTCAGTGATGCCACAGCATTGAAGGGCAGTAAAAGATATAAAAGAGTTACAGAAGGGCTCATTATGCTAGGAACTAGAAGGACAATTAAAAGTTGAAATAAAATGTTTTTAGAATATGTATTCCACAGGGAACTTAGTAGAGGAGGGAGCTGTGGTTGCAGAGAAGTAGCTGTGGGGAAGAATGAGTAAGAAACACACCAAGAGCAAGTAATTTCCCTCTGGGGATGCCTAAATTCTGAAAAGTTATCAGCTAATACTGACAAAGTAAAGCCTGCATCACGAAGAAGAGGATGAACAACTGTATCAAGGACTTTCTAAGAGATGTACATCTCCACATTCAAAATGTCCTGTGCATGAAGTGAGCACTCAGCCTTGGTGAGTCACCCACAAGGAAGGCTAAGAGGAGGTGGTAGGAGGATAAAGCCCAAATTCCTGGGAGCACCCGGGACTGTTTTGTGATCCTCCACTGTTTTTCTCACTGGTTGTAGTTGGAGGCTCTTTGAATTCCTCCCGTGACCTAGATGATATAAATCAGTGTTTTCAAGCCACTTGATAGAGTCCTAGTTCTTGTCAGTCACCAAATCAACAGCATAAACTGAAGTGCTCAGTATATGTAGATATACATTTTAAAAACTAAAGAATGGAAGTCAAAAGGGAGATGACTCTTTTCTTGGCCTTGAGGCATTTCTATTCTGTTGGAGATAAGAAGGAATGGAGAAGGGCTTGGATTGGTATAAGAACCAAAGATAGACATAGACCTTCATCTTTTCTTGATAAAGAAGATGGTGAGAAGTGTCTGTTCATATCCTTCGCCCACTTTTTGATGGGGTTGTTTGTTTTTTTCTTGTAAATTTGTTTGAGTTCATTATAGATTCTGGATATTAGCCCTTTGTCAGATGAGTAGATTGCAAAAACTTTCTCCCATTCTGTACGTTGCCTGTTCACTCTGATGGTAGTTTCTTTTGCAGTGCTTAGGAAGGAGGCTTACGTATCAGAAGGCTACCAGCCTTTCAGCCTTGGCCCAAGTAGTTTTGCCATTTCTACTGGTGTAGTCCTCTTCCCCGTTTCCTTAGTCTCTGGTTTTGAGTCAATTAGTCCCGTTCATTGACACCTCCCCAATCAGCTATGTGTGAGATCTGAATCCTTTGAACCCAAAACCCACTAATTCATATCTCATTGCCTACAGTCCCACTAGCTATGCATGCTTAGAGCAATCAAACACCAAAGGATCTATTTTTCCCTTCTATACTACTTTAAACCACAGATTATGTATATTCACTTATCACAAATCTTTAGAGCTGGAAGAAATCTTAATGTACCTAATCTAACTTGCTCATTCTGTAGATGAAGAAACTGTGGCTTTAAAATGTAGCAATGTACCCAATGGATACGTAGATGGTTTCCTGATACAGCTTGAAGCCCAGGCCTCCTTATATGAATCTTAGCATACCTTAAACCTCATCTACTTTTTTAAGAGGCAAGAGCACTATTTCTTGTTTTTGTTTTGTTTTGTTTTTTGTTTCTACTTTATTATTTCTACAGATCTGCTGAGCTGATTACATAGCCAGACTCTATGTCTCCTCTTACCAGATGTCTTCATCAAGCTTCCTCTGAAAACTCCCCTGATAAGGTCATGATGACTCACTCTTTCTATTCTCCCTGCAGGCTGAGTTCCTAAGCAGGAGACCAGACTGATTGATTTGTTATCCCAATACCTTCCACTGGACCAGGCGCTGAACAGTGCTCAGTACATGTTTACCAAGGTGAGAAAAGTGGAATAAAATTCTCTGTCCCAAAAAGCTAAGAACGAGGCCATCTATCAATAAAAATAGTTTTTCATCATCTAAAAACATCACCAAAATGTATTGGAATAAAATAGTACTAAGTTCACACTGTGTGCAGAGCATGTACTACCTACTCACTGAGTACAGGTGAACCCTCTACTTTGATTCTTCACTATATTTAACAGGGTCTCTGTAATTAGGTGGTTTAAGCAATATAATGCATTTCAAGGGGCTTTATGACCCACATTCTGAAAACTTTCTGACGTTTATAGCACATATTCTATTGTTTCTTGTCCCCATGGCACTGGGTAGACTTTACCTCTGTAATTTGGACTTGTTGAGCATAGTAACAGCCACTTACGTTTACTTATACTTTACAAAGCACATTCATATTCATTTGTTCATCTGATCTTACTTAAAATGTTGTGAGATAAGCATTATTATTATTCATGCATTTCAAATGAAGAAACTGAGGCTCATAGAGGTCTAGTAAGTTGCACATAGCAGACTAATGGAAGAGGCAAACTCAAACTCAGACCCCTTGACTTATTTAAAGCTTTACCCCCACACCACATGTCTTTCTCTTCAAGGATAGATGGCTGTCCTGAGCTTCCCATCTGAGGTTCCTCAGGTGCCTCCCTTCCTAGACTACAGCTTTTCAGAACTCCTTCCCACCCTTCACTCATGGGCTTGGGTAGAGCTAGATGTGCAGGGCAGCCCTGACCCTTGTTCCAGCTTAGTCTCCAGGTAGATCTGAGACCTGGGCAAATCACCGTAGCCCTATTCCTTGGTTTCCTTGTTTATAAAATGAAAGGAATGAAACACTTAGCCCCTATATTTCTTTTCATTTTAAACAGTTGTGGTTACCTTCTGGAGGGTATCTCAATCCTTGAGGCCAACTCTGAAGGTGAAGATTCTGTCTATAGTAACAAGCAGCATACTGATCATAGTAGATCAGCATTGATCTACTTCTGCTGATACAAGGGAACCATCTCCCTAGGGCAGCAGTCAAAATTCCAGCCCCTGGCTCTGACCCTAGAACCTGATCTCCAACCTTGAGAACCCAAGGCCAGTTTCTATTCTTAGCAGTTTCTACAGTGACACCTTCTGGCCACTGCAGGACCAGGGCTGAATGGAGACAAGATGCCAGCTCCATCCAGGTCCTCTCTGCTCTCTCCCTCCACCAATGTTTCCAGCCAGAAGAAACATAAATTGAATTATGCATTTCAGCTTTCTTGCATTTTATTCTGTGGTTCTGCTCTCATTTTCTTAATGCAGATGTATGGCATTTGTCCTCTGGCTGTAGTGGCTTGCACAAACATGCTCTCATTAGATTCTCAGATTTGACCAAAATCCATTTTTAAAAATTTATTATTTGATCCTCTGGCACTGCTGATTTTCTAAACACAAATCCCTAACATTGAAAGGTGGAATTTCCTAGAGGTTGGTTGAAAGCATAGTGCCTGATATACTCAATAATGTTTTAATAAATGAATCAGTTTGTTAATTAAATTTTTTAAGAGCAGGAAATACATCTGGAGATTATATTTATATTAAGAAAAAGTGATGGCACTTAATTTTATTTTTCAAGAGGACCAGTCAGCATGGTAGAAGGGAGATGAACTGGTACAACCTTGGCTGACAAGGGAGAATTCACTCTGTTTGAAAAGATTCTGTGGGTTTCTATCACCTCATACTCAGTAGTAATACATGAGTATCATTGGTTTTCGAACGCTTGCATCACAACATTACTTTGTTAATCATTTGTTTAAACATCTAAATAAATGCCTGAAACTCACTATATAAATTGCATGTTATTAAGGAGTAAGGCATAACTACTGTCATAATTTAATTACAAAGCTCCAAATTTAATTAGCCAAATACTAACCTTGTTCTTCTCCTTCATAGCACTTAGCACAATTATACTTAATTAATTATTTGTAATTATTGATGTAATCTCTGTGTCCCTAGATAAATTATAAGAATCAAGAAAGCAAGGGCCCGTGTTTCTATCTTTCTTACTTACCAGCAGGTAACCAATGCCTGGCACAGACCCTGGCACACCAGCAGGGGATTAGTAGATATTGGTTTCAAGGACTTCAGCTTTATCTGGACTTGTGGGAGAAATGAAAAGGATGTGAGAGGATTCCTGTCTGGACTTAGTGGACCCTAGAAGAAGCAGGAAGAGCAGCTCAATCCAGAGTTAAGAAATGAGCTGAGAAATCCTAGGACATGCCTACAGTTCTCAAGTGTCTGATTACAATACTTTACCCACTGCTTCCCCACAGTGAAGAATCCTTCCTTTCTTTCATATCTTCCACATTCCTTCCCTCCTTTTCCATTTTCCTATTGTCTTTCCTTAGTTTTTCTTTGCTTCTTTCATCCTTTCTTCTCTATCATTCCTTCTACATTGATAGATTACCTCCTACACAACTGTAACTGTGATCGGTCCTCGACGTGAAAGGATGGCCAAAACAGGGACTTTGTCCTTCAGAACCTCTCAGAATTTGGTTTAGTGTCAGAAACCAAATGTCCTTTTCTCCAAGACCTTTGCATTCCCTCCTAACCACCTAGATTGAAGAAGTGAGGTTCAATGTCCCAACTGGGAAGGGACAACATAACCTGGGTGAGTGAGTTCATCCTAATGGGTCTCTCCAGTGACAGGCAGACCCAGGCTGGACTCTTTATCTTATTTGGGGCTGCCTACCTGCTGACCCTGCTGGGCAATGGGCTCATCCTGCTCCTGATCTGGCTGGACGTGAGACTCCACCTGCCCATGTATTTCTTCCTCTGCAACCTCTCACTTGTGGACATCTGCTACACCTCCAGCAGGGTCCCTCAGATGCTGGTGCACTGCACCAGCAAAGAAAGACCATCTCCTTTGCCCGATGTGGGACCCAGCTCTTTTTCTCCCTGGCCCTCGGAGGGACCGAGTTTTTGTTGCTGGCCGCAATGGCCTATGACCGCTACGTGGCTGTTTGCGACCCCCTGTGTTACATAGCAGTGATGAGCCCAAGGCTCTGCATGGCACTGGCAGCTGTCTCTTGGCTAGTGGGCCTGGCTAATTCTGCTATGGAGACGGCACTGACCATGCACCTGCCCACCTGTGGGCACAACGTGCTGAACCATGTGGCCTGTGAGACACTGGCACTGGTCAGGTCGGCCTGCGTGGACATCACCTTCAATCAGGTGGTCATAGTGGCCTCCAGTGTGGTGGTGCTGCTGGTGCCCTGCTGCCTGGTCTCGCTGTCCTACACCCTCATTGTAGTTGCCGTCCTGCAGATCCACTCCACCCAGGGGCACCGCAAGGCCTTTGGGACCTGTGCCTCCCACCTCACTGTGGTCTCCATATCCTATGGGATGGCCCTCTTTACCTACATGCAGCCTCGCTCCATGGCCTCAGCTGAGCAGGAAAAGGTGATGGTACTCTCTTATGCTGTGGTGACCCCCATGTTGAATCCTTTCATCTACAGTCTGCGGAACAAGGATGTGAAGGCAGCTCTGAGTCGAGCTCTGATGAGGAGCTCTGAATTAAAACATTAGAGAGTGGTTTGAGTAACAAGAAGGCCTCACTCTGAAAACAGTGGGCATTGGACTGTGCTCTCCAGTATAACGTGTGTACGCATGTGTGTGTATGTGTGTGCATCTGTGTGTGTGTGCATGTGTATGTGTGTGTGTAAGGGAACAGGTGGGAGGACCACAATTTGTACTACTCTCTTTTGAGGTAATAGAAAAATGGATTTTATCCGGACTTTATCTTTGGCCCATGCCTTATTCCCAATGTGAATTACAACAACTTAAAAATACATGCACCCTACAGAAAGTGAAATGAAATATATTCATTTTCTTAAATGAAAGAAAGGGGGAGGGAGGAGAAAAGATATACCAGTGTATATGAATTAGGAAGAAAGATTAAATTAGAAGTCAGGGCAGTGCACAAAATGTATTCCAAGAAAGTCTATTTCTTGGTAAAAATATTTAAATATATGTTTCTGTAGTAAGTGAGAAAAGGAGGGAAAAAAGCTTTAAGTTACAAAATTCGCTGTGCCCATAGGATCAAACAGGCCTTAGGTAAGAGGTGCAAAGGCCACCCTAGTAACTCACACATGGTCCAGCCCAGCTCACTAGGGTGGGGGATTCACCCATGGGTTTGGAGCCAAAGTCACAGTAATGATCTCTCAGCTCTGATGAGTGTGACTGGGCTGTGTGCCAGTCACATGAGCGTCCCTCTGCTTGTTTCCCTTTCAAATTTGCAGTGGTGGCAAATTGCTGGCCAGAAAGTCAGATATGCGGGACCTCAAACAAACATCTTGTATGCAATCAGGTCTAAGAATATCCTCTTGTGAACATTGAGGGCTGTGCTCAGAGCTCATCCTGACTGGGAGACCATGCTATGCACGATTAGAGTGAGCCATGGGATTCAGCAAAGAAAGAATCCGGCTTCCTCATTGGGGATAGTTTTGTTCCACTCTTTTAATACACAAATTTTTGAGCTCTAAAATCCTAGATCATAAAGCAAAGCCATGATGATTTTATTCTGAAAAATGTTTAAAATAATCTTTTAAAAATCAGACTAAAACATCTCCTTAACTAAATATTATGAATCTCTGGTTTGTCTTGACCACAAAAGAAAACAAACAAACCAAAACAAGCAAAGAAACAACAACAACGAAAAAACATAAACTGAAAACAGTTCAAACTTTTACTCAATCTGTTGCAACAAAGCTAAAGGGCTGAAAAACAGGAAATGAAGAGCACCCTTTAAAACTGCTATTAAAACTTTTTAATTGAGGTAAGGCTCACATATCACATGATTCACAGTTTTTGCCATTTTAAAGCAGATAATTCATTGACATCTAGTCAATGAATCCACAGTGTTGTGCAACCTCATCTCTATCTGCCCCAAAACACGTTCAACACCCCAAAAGGATACCCCACACTCAGTAAGCAGTCCTGACCACCACTAACCTGGTTTCTGTCTCTATGGATTTGCCAGTTTGGGACATTTCATATAAAGGGAATCATGCAGTATGTGGCCTTTTGTGTCTAACTTCTCACTTAGCATAATGTTTTTAAGGTCTTTCCATATTGTAGTATGTAGTAGTGCTTCGCTTCTTTTTATAGTTGAATAATATTCCATTGTGTGGATATAACACATTTGTTTATTCGATCATCAGATAGCGGACATTTGAATTGTTTCTACCTTTTTGCTATTGTGAATAGTGCTACTATGAACATTCATGTACAAATTTTTGTTTGAATACCTGTTTTCAATTCTTTTGAATATTTACCCAGGAGTGGAAGCACTGGGTCATATGATAATTGTAAGTTCAACTTTTTTAAGAAACTGCCAAACTGTTCTCCACCACAGCTGAACCATTTTACATTCCCACCAGCGAAGAACCAGCAATGAACAAGGATTCCAATTTCTTCACAGCCTCACCAATACTTACTATTTCAGTTCTGTTGATTGTGGCTGGTCTTTCTCATGCTATTCTCATGGTAGTTAATAAGTCTCACAAGATCTGATGGGTTTATCAGGGGTTTCTGCTTTTACTTCTTCCTCATTTTTTGCTGCTGCCATGTAAGAAGTGCCTTTCGCCTCCTGCCATGATTCTGAGGCTTCCCCAGCCATGTGGAACTGTAGGTCCAATTAAACCTCTTTTTCTTCCCAGTCTCGGGTATGTCTTTATCAGCAGCATGAAAATGAACTAATACACCCCAAAAAGTCAATTTCACTATACGTTAATTTAAAGGGCACTTACCAATCAATAGGAAAATGGAGAACATGCAAACAGAAAAATGGAGAAGTAAAATAAATACAAAGGTAGAACTTGTTCTATAACATTTAGCATATGAAAAAATATTTAGTCTCAGCAACAAAGAAATACAAACTAAAATAATAAACTATATTAAGCTATTTAATTCACAAAGAAAATATTGACAGTGGATACTTTAATTATACTTATCAAAAGCCTTAGACTAGCTTGAACACCATAGCGCCATAGCAAGACCCTGTCTCTAAAAATAAAAATTTTTAAAATTAGCCTGCTGGGTGGCTATGGTGGATGGATTATGAGGTCAAGAGATCGAGACCATCCTGGCCAACATGGTGAAACCCTGTCTTTACTAAAAATACAAAAATTAGCTGGGTGTGGTGGCACATGCCTGTGGTCCCAGCTCCTCAAGAGGCTGAGGCATGAGAATGACTTGAACCCAGGAGGCAGAGATTGCAGTGACCTGAGATTGCGCCATTGCACTCCAGCCTGACGACAGAGCGAGACTTAGTTAAAAAAAAAAAATTAGCCGGGTGTGGTAGTGCACTTGCAGTCCCAGCTACTCAGGAGACTGAGAAGGGGGACTGCCTGACTCGGGAGTTCAAACTACAGTCAGCTGCGGTCATGCCACTGAGCTTGAGCCAGGGCTGCATAGCTAGACCCTGACTCAAAAATAATCTTAAAAAAAATTCATGCTCTGACTTTTAGTTAAAATGGCATCTGATCCCCCAGAAAGATCTTAACTCTAATACAACCTATGTGATAACACCAAGAAAGATAAACACTTGTAAAAATGTTTAAAATATAATCATCCAGTGAATTACTATATCCTGAGAGGACTTTTTCCTAATATCCAAATAATTCACAGAAACCCAAGGATATTACTAATCAAAGAACATAACACTTGTCCTTCTGCTTTGGACTTCTGCTTTTTGAGGCAGCTGAGACATTGCTCTGCAGACTGTATCCCATAAACAACTGGAGAAAGCAATTCTCAAGAGACTAAAAGAGCAGTCAAGAATAAGAGAAGAGGGGTGATACTATAACATGGTGCTTTTAATTATTCTGAGAAAGACCATACTACCAGAAGGTAGAAGAGGCAAGAGTTGGTCTTGGGTATTTCTTTTACTTTTTTTTTTTTTTTTTTTTGAGACAGACTCTCACTCTGTCACCCAGGCTAGAGTGCAGTGGCTAGATCTCAGCTCACTGCAAGCTCCGCCTCCCGAGTTCACGCCATTCTCCTGCCTCAGCCTCCTGAGTAGCTGGGACTACAGGCGCCCGCCACTGCACCCGGCTAATTTTTTGTATTTTTAGTAGAGACAGGGTTTCACCGTGTTGGCCAGGATGGTCTCGATCTCCTGACCTCGTGATCCACCCACCTCAGCCTCCCAAAGCGCTGGGATTACAGGCATGAGCTACCGCGCCCGGCTAAACAGGACGTTCTTATTGCTGAAATCTTTTTTAAAAAATCAGTAAGATGGTTGAAAGATAAAGTAAAAGAACTCTCTAAGAATATAGAATAATCGATTTTGAAAAATAATACAGGCCTTCTACTCCCAGACGTGAAGAAGTAACAGGACAGAATTACCCAGCTACCACAAGCAACTAGAAGACTGGAAAACAGTTTAAAAACATTGTTTTCAGATATGAAAAAAACAGCACAAAACTGTGATTACTGTGAGAAGGAAAAATAATGAGGTGATTCTTACAATCACCCAGATTTTCTGCCAGGAGGCAATATCCAGATTGTAGCACAAAGAGAGAATTTAAACAGACCTGGAAATCTTGCTCAGTGAAGGATGCGGAGATTAGAGGGAAAAATAAGCTACACAGGAAAATGGTTCCAGAAATCAGTCTTTGAGTCCTTGGCTAAACACCAATCCGTATGTGAGTAGTGTGAAACCCTGTAAGACTGAGAAAAAAACAATCTCCAAAGAAAGAAAAAATGCTGGAGTGCTATAAAACAAACAATTCCCAGAACTCCTACGGGGCCAGGATTCATTTTAGCACTCTTTGGCCAGAGTGAAGAAACATTACTGAATATACAAAGCACTCCATATGAGTTGCAAAGATGCTATGTCTTAGAAGTTGAGCAAAATTAGTAGCCCTAGAAAAAGACTACCATAGACCTACCCTAAATTTGCTTTTAAAAAAATCAAAAGCATCAAACTAATTTACAAGTAACTGTCAGAAAAAGTCTAAAATGCTTCAATAGAAAACAACAAAACCAAGTATTAAATAACTTAAGATTTCTAATTTACAACATTCAGTAAAAAATTACTAGACCTTAAAAAATCAGGAAAATAAGATTCATAACCTGGAACAGATTGGTCAACAAACACAGGCCTAGAAACAGAAGAAACTAAACAAGACTTGTAAAGATGAAAAATAAAATACGTAAAATTTAAATTTCACTAGATGGAATTAACAATAGTTTAGGCACTGTAAAATAAAATAATAGTAAGCTTGACCTCCTGAATGTATAAGCATCTAACAGCAGAGCTTCAAAATATATGCAGCAAAAAAAGGACAAAAATTTAAAAAGGTATCAGGCCAGGCCCCATGGCTCATGCCTGTGATCCCAGCACTTTCGGAGGCCAAAGCAGGTGTATCTCTTGAGCTTAAGAGTTCGAAACCAGCCTGGGCAACATAGTGAGACACTGCCTCTACAAAATATTAAAAAATTAGCCCAGCATGGTGGTGCGTGCCTGTGGTCCCAGCTACTCCAAAGGCTGAGGTGGGAGGATTGCTTGAGCCTGGGGGGCAGAGGTTGCAGTGAGCTGTGATTGTGCCACGCACCATAGCCTACATGTCAGAGCCAGATTCTGTCTAAAATTAAAAATAAAAAAATACACAATTCGAGTAGAATAATTCAACACTTGCCTCTCAGTAAATGAACAAGTAGACAGAAAATCCGTAAGGATACAGAGGATATAGAAGACTTGAACAATGCTATCAACCAACAGGACCTAGCTGACATTTATAGAACACTCCATCCAACGTCAGCAGAATACACATCCATTTCAAGTGCACATGGAGCATTCATCAGGACTGATAATCCAGTGGGCCATGAAGCAAATCTCAAGAAATTTTAAAAGACTGAAATCATGCAGACTATGTCCTCTAATCACAATAGAATTAAATTTGAAATTAATGCCAGAAAGATAACTGGAAGATCTCACAAATATTTAGATATTAAACACTACTTGTTTGGTTAACCCATTGGCCAAAGCAAAAATGAAAAGGGAAATTGGAAAATCTTTTGAACTAAATAAAAATTAAAACACAATACTGTCTGTCAAAATTTGTGGTATGTCTTTTCAACAAACAGTGCTAAAACATTTGTATATTCATAAAGGGGGAAAATGAACCTCAATCCTTACCTCACTTCATATACAAAATTAACATGAAATGGATAAGAAACCTAAATGTAAGAGGTAAAACCATAAAGCTTCTAGAAAAACAAGAAAATCTTTGTGATCTTAGGATGGCAAAGATTTCTTGAGGTACACATAAAATCATGAACCATAAATGAAAAAAATTGTATACAATCCCATAAAGTATATTTCAATATATGGATGATTGTACTATATATTACCGACCTAATATTAACATTGATTACTTCTGGTAAAATATATAATGGAGAGAAGAATGAAGAAGGATGGAGGCATTTTATTTTCCTTAAATTTTTGTGTACTGTTTATAATTTTTTAAAATAAGATTCTACTACTTTCATAAAAATAAGAATAAACTTTTAAAATATATGTTCTATAGAATGTGCTGGCTGACACTTCTTTCAGAATGAGATCTCAGCACAAAGGAATACAAGCCCTGGGAACAGATAAGGTGGGGGCCAATAAGGGAAATGATTTTCTGAGGATTCCCACCCCTGTTTCCCTCACAAATTATAGTTCTTTGGCTTCCTCCACCACCTAGATGAGAGGATGAATTTTAAGAAGCCACTACTCAGTGTGATGTTCAGTCAGTCAGTTAGTCCCCCAACTCTAGATATCAGGCTCAGTTTAGAAACTAGAAAAACATACAATAAAAAGAGAAAACGCCCTCTCTACCTTTCAGTTAGTTAGAAGTGAGAAAAGAGAAGCAAAGGAGTCTGACTTGGTAGAGATTTTTTTCCAGCTCTAGCTCCTGGCTGCAGAAAAAGTAGAAAGTCCAGGTGTGTGAGATTCATACCCTTACTAAAACTATGGGGTGGGTGTTTCCCTTTTGCAGATAAAACTAAAAGAGGAAAACTGATTTGGTGAACTGGACCTCCAGGCCACTGGACATTGCCAAGCACTCTTCAACCTGGTTTCCCACAAAGTCTGGTGTCAGTCCAAGGCCTCCCACTGGACCCCCTGGAATGACGTCCCAAACACTAAGCCTTTGTTGACATCCTCCTCCCCACCCATAAGTTAAACCTGTCCTGTGCTACCCTCACTAGCCACTGTGACACATTCCCCATGCCCATGAGTGATCACCCAGTGGGATGTCGCAGGAAGAAAATGGGTCTTGTGATCCTCAGATTCCAGATCAGTTCCAGTCCTGCCCCTAACTAGCCAATAACCCTGAGTCAATCACCCTTGCTCTCTGAGCCTCAGTTTCCTCATTTCTTGAGGACCTTCCATAAGGTCCCTCTCTTAATGCATGGGGATTACAATTTGAGACGAAATTTGGGTGAAGACACAGAGCCAAACCACATCATATGGTAAAGGAAGTAGGTACAAATGTAAAGAGGTAGCATGAAAGAGTTCTTTTATGTTGATGGAATAGTTCTGTATCTTGATTATAATTACACAAATCTCTAACTAGGATAAAATTGAATAGAACTACACACACAAACACACAAATGTAAGTTTTTAAAATAGTAAAAATTGAATAAGTTCTGTAGACTAACAGTAATGTAGCAATGTCAGTTTTCTAGTTTTGTTATCATACTACAGCTATATAAAATGTCACCACTGGGGGAAGCTGGATGAAGATTTATGCTATTTTTACAACTTCATGTGAGTCTATCGTTATTTCAAAATAAAAGAGTTTTTAAAACTAACATTAGAATTCAGAAAAAATAAAATAAAAAACACTGGGAGTAGGGAATTGCTTTGCTGCTTATATCACAAATAAAGAGCTAATTCCTCTAAGATATAAAGAGTTCCTCAAAACCAATAAGAAAAAGGCCAAAAGCCAAACCCAAAAAAGATAGACTGTCCACAGTAAATAAACATAAATGGCTCTAAACATATAAAATAATTATAAACACTCACTCATAGTAAGAGTCATGCAAATGACAGCTAATGTTTTTTAACCTAACAGGTTGGCAAAAACAGAAAGTGTGAAAAAAGTTCTCTAATAAATTGCTGGTGGGAAAGTAAATTGATGCAAACCAATAAAGGGTGATATCTGTCAGAATTAGAAATGCACATTCCATTCAACTCAGTAATTCCATTTCATGAGACTTTTCCCATAGTTAGTTTGCACATGTGGAAAATTACATATGCAGAAGATTATTCATTATAGCATTATTATAACAACAAAAAACAGGAAGTAACCTAAATGACCACAAACACATGGCTAGTTAAAGAAATTGTGGCACATCAGTGCAAAAAATTTTACAAGTGAGGAAATACTATGCATATCCACTTACATAGCTCTCCAAGATATGTTATAAGGTGAAAAGAGCAAGGGGCAGGACAATGTGTGTATTCTGCAACCATTGTATGGAAAGATGGAGACATTATAAGTTATTTGATTGGTAGCTAGTTAGGTACTAGTATAGAATATACCAGTGCATAAGTTAGTTGACTGGTTCATTAGGTATTAGTGGCTTTCTGATAGAATAAAATATCTCTACAAGGATAGACATAAAACTGGTAAGAATGCCTCAGGACGGAACAGATAAGAGGGAGATTTTCTATACATACTCTTCAATAGGTTTTGAATTTTCAGCCATGAAAATATATTAGGTATTTTTAAAAATAAATGCTTAAATTAAAAATGTAGAGCCAGGTGCCCAAAGATTATTGTTCATGAGTGTTCATCCACTCATCAGTACATCCCCTAATCAAAGTCTTCACTCTTAGAGGAAATTACAATTTCTCCCTATCAGGGATTCAGCTGCAAGCTTGTCTCTGAAATTTGCACATTGATGCCCTTTAGCAAAAACGTTTAAGCTATCTTAGAGGCACTCATCTCTAAATAAAATGTTTTCCAAAAGTATTTCTAAAATCATTTGCATAGTAATTGGAGCAAGTTATTTTTAAAACAGTATTTAAACGTAAAATTTTGAACAGGGTGGTTCTTTTTAAAACAATATTTAAGTAGTTTTTAGATACAAACTAATGAATTTTTTTTAAGACGGTCTCACTCTGTTGCCCAGGCTGGAGTACAGTGATCACAGCTCACCGCAGCCTCTATCTCCTGAGCTCAAGTGATCCTCCCACCTCAGACTCACGAGTAGCTGGGACCACAGGTGCACACCACCACACCTGGCTGATTTTTTTGAATTTTTAGTGGAGAGGAGGTCTCGCTATCTTGCCCAGGCTGCTCTTGAACTCCTGAGCTCGAGCAGTCTGCCTGACTCAGCTTCCCAAAGTGTTGGGATTACGGACGTCACCACTCCCAGTCCAGTGAAATTCCTGAGTCTGTTTTTCAGATTGAAAAGTACATGTTTATTCAATGCAGATGTGACTCTGTGACATATGCTTGAGGAAGACAAGAAAGTCACAATGTGTCTTTTTCTAAAGGAATGATAAACAAGAAAAAAGTCTGGCTACTACTCAGACTTCAGAGAAGAGAAAATTGAAGTCAGAAATGTTAATGAGAAAAGAAACTGGGTGGTGTAAAGAAACCTTCCAGTAAACTTAATAAAATTAAAACCAGATTATCCAAGTTTGTGTGGAGACAAAGTATCTTCATGCAGTAAAGGGCAATCAGAACTCACAGCCCAGGCCACTGCCTGCCACAACTGCCTGTCCCTTGGGGCTCTCGTAGTAACCATGACATTTGTCCTCAAGAAGGCTGTCGCTTCACTATCCACATCTCAGTTCAGCCATAGAGGCAAATATTTGCTCTTAACTTTCTGAAAGGCAGTGGAGATGCGATGGCACAGTTAATCAACACTTTTAATCGAAGCCTTCCAGATAACAAAGGGGTACAAACGTAAGGAGTAGCACGACATCATATTAACATATTCTGAACTTCTGGGCAATACTGGCTCTCTGGGATCCATGGGACTGCATCTTTATAACATTCCAAAGAAGGGAAGCATGCTCAGAGAGTTCCCAGATTTCCTTGTCTCCTCCGCTTCCCAGAGGAGGAGCCCCATAACAGTACCCAGTATTCATCTACCTATGAAAACACCTCCATGTCAGTGGGCCACAGCTCTGCCATCCTCACCTTTCTTTTCCGGGGGTCTAGATAAGGAAACCATGCCATCTAGGCCACCCAGAAGCCCCTTGCCAACAACAGGAGCTGCGAGAACACGCTTCGAAGCTTGAGGTTGCTGAAGATGAGGATGAAGGGATGGACAGATATGCACAGGTAGACTGCAATTTGCCATGGCCAGTAAAAGTCGTTCTGCATGGAGATAAATTTTGCGGCATCAATGATCAGGGACAGAAAGGACAGAGCATAAAGAATGAGGAAGGAGATGAGGGACTTCAGAGCTCTGGTGTGAGCCTGGGTGCTGGGGTCCTGCAGGCTGTGCCCGTTGTGCTGCATTCTCTGAGTATGCCTCCTCAGAGAATTAATTAACAGCATAATTGAGACCAGAAAAACAGAAAAAGGAATTGACCAGATGACCAGTTTCAGGGATGGGAAATAGTATGTTTCTATCCTTGTATTCCACTTGTAGGTCATGTTCCCAGAAAATTTTCTAATTAAAAATTCTTGATATACAGGGTAGTTCACCCAAAAAAACAGCAGGGTTATGATGAAGGAGATCAGGACAGAGCCCAACAGGAGCCAGGGCACCCACCCTGGGAACCTCCACTTCAGCCACAGGAAGGTGGAGTGTGTGATGTTAGCAATCTTCACACAGAACAGGACACTGAGCCAGCTGCAAAACCAGAAGGTGGCTGAGTTCAGGAAGTGCCAGTGTAGATGGAAGAACTGTCGGCCGAGACCCCCAGAGTACTCGACCTTCTGGGCAGAGTAGTAGAAGTTGTGCACCGTCCCAACCAACTGCAGGCAGAAGCGGGAGGCACCCAAGCTAATGAGGATCATATCCAAGGGCAGCAACCTGCCATATCGCAGCCACTCCCTGCCCAGCACCAGCACAATGAAGCCATTCGCTGCAATCCCCAGAAGACTCAGCAGGCTAAAGAGCAACACGAAGAAGGCCGTCAGTGCTGCTTGCATTCTGACCCCTCCTGCAGTCCCCACTTGAGTGCCTTGGTCCCTGGCCTCCTCCCTGCCCCTAGCCACAGTCCTGTTTTTAATCTTTCCTAGGAGTGCTAAAGAGTGGTCAGGCTCTGCATCTGAACCAGAGCTCACTTAGAGAGGAGGATGCTCAGGCTAAAGAGGAGAGGTGTGCTCTTGGCTCAGACAGGATGCAAATTTATCCTAGTGTCAGTTACCACTAGGCCTGCAAATTACCCTAATTTGCCTTGTCCAGTTTTCCTGCATGCTGCCATGGTTAGTATCAATGTCTATGATTTTTCTGGGTCTCTGTGACTGAGTTCCATCCTCAGGCCGTATGAACACTCCTCTTCCCATCAGAACATTCTTAAGACTTTAAATATAGAGACAAGTATAGGAGATACACAGGAAAAATAGTGACATCAAAGAATTCTGTCTCAGTACTTCCCTGTTACACATCCATGCTTACCTTACTGCCTTTGCCCACAAATCGCTTCAAAATCAAACACTTCGTCTACCTCTCCATCCAGATCTCTACTTAGATCCTCCATGAATCCTGAGATGTAAATGATAATGGTGTAAACGGGTTTTGTATTTCCAGTGAGAGAATTCATTATCATGTGGTTGAGGGGCCTTCCGAAGCAGGACTGAGAGCCCCTGTTTCTTCCTGGGTGTTGGTGGGAGACTGCTCTCTGGTCCTAGAGGCCTCTCACAGTCTCTGCCAGGTAAGCTGTTTCAGCATGGCCACTCACGTCAAGTCAGCAGTCTCTAAAGGGAGTCTGCTAACAAGATGGGGTCTTAAATAACATAACACAATCATTGGAGTGACAGCCTATCACCTTTGCCATAGTCTATTGGCTAGAAGCAAGTCACTGTCACCAACAACACTCAAAAGAAGGAGGTTACACAAAGGCCCAACACCAGGGTTGAGGGACAGGCAGGGCCACTTTACAGTCTGTCTGCCACCCTGAGATACCCGAGGCATATGTGAGTCCTGTCTAACACCAACATCAAAAAGAAGTCCCTATGAGACCATGTTGAAAGTAAAAATATTTTCTTTTAAAATATATCTATCACCTCACATAATTCCTGTTTTCAATTTCTTCATGTGTAGTGAGAACACTTAAGATCTACCCTCTCATGAAAGTTCAAGTATACAGTGCAGTATTGTTTACTATACTCATACTACCATACCTTAGGTTTCCAAAGCATGTTCACTTAGCATAACTGAAACTTCATACCCCTTGACCAATATCTCCCCATTTCCCCTTCCAGAACCCTGGCAACCACCAATCTACTCTCTACTTCTGTGGGTTTGTTTTTTCAGATTCCACATGTAAGTGAGATCGTACAATATATGTATTTCTGTCTCTGGAGCATTTCACATAGCATAATGTCCTCCAGTTCCATCTACGTTGTTGCAAATGGCAGAATCGCCTTTTCTAAGACTGAATCATATTCCATTGTGTATGCACACCACATTTTCTTTGTTCATTCATCTGTTAATGGGCTTTTAGATTGTTTCCATGTCTTGGCTATTGTGAATAATTTTCAATGAACATGGGAGTGCAGATATCTCTTCAAAATACTAGTTTCATTTCCTTTGCATATACACCTAAAAGTGGAATTACTGGATAAGGTAGGTCTGTTTTTAATTTTCTGAGAAATCTTTATAGTGTTTTCCATAATTTATATTCCTGTCAACAGACTGAAAGAGCTGCTTTTCTCTGTATTTTTGCCAACACTTGTTATCCTTCATCTTTTTGGTAACAGCCATTCTAACACATGTAAGATGATACCTCATTGTGGTTTTGATTTGCATTTCTCAGGTGATTTGTGATATTAAACATATTTTCATGAACGATTTTTGTCTTCTTTTGAGAGATGTTATTCAGGTCCTTTGCCCATTTTAAAATCAGGTTATTTATGTTTTTTGTTTATTTCTGCACTACAGTTGAATAAGTTCCTTGTATTTTTATTATTTGTATTTATTTATTTCAGACGGGGTCTCACTCTGCCACCCAGGCTGGAGCGCAGTGGCACCATTACAGCTCACTGGAGCCTCAAGGTAGGAAGGATGATCCAATCTTCCCCACCTCAGCCTTCCAGGTATCTGGGACTAAAGGCATGCACTGCCACACCCGGTTAATTTTTTTTATTTTTTGTACAGACAGAGTCTCACTATGTTGCTCAGGCTAGTCTCAAACTACTGGGCTCATGCAATCTTTCTGCCTTGGCCTCCCAAAATGTCAAGATTACAGGCGTGAGCCAGGGCACCCAGCCAAAGTTCCTTATATATTTTGGAAATTAACACCTATTAGATATGTTGTTTACAAATATTTTCTCCCAATTTCCATTCTGCTGGTTGTTTTCTTGGCTTTGCAGCTTTTTATTTTGATGCAATCCCATTTGTCTATGTTTATTTAGCTGAATTTTTGCCTGTGCTTTAGGTGTAGTTTTCTATAAGTCATTACCCAAACCAGTGTCAAGAAGCTCTTTTCCTATGTGTCCTTCTAAGAGTTTTATGATTTCAGGTCTTGCATTTAAATATTTAATCTATTTTGATTTAACTTTGCATGTAGTGTAAGAAGAGGATGAAATTTCATTCTTCTGCATGTGGATACCCAGTTTTCCCAACCTCATTTATTGAGGAGACTATCTTTTCCCCATTGTGTATTCTTGGCACTTTGTCAAAAATCAATTGACCACAGAAGTGTAGTTTTATACACGGGCTTTCAATCCTACTCCATTGGTCAATGTGTCTGTTTTTTTGCCAGAACCATGCTGTTTTGATTGCTATCATTTTGTAATATATTTTGAAATACAGTAGTGTGATACATACAGCTGTGTTCTTTTTGGTCAAGATGGCTTTAGTTATTCAGGGTCCTTTGTGATTCCACATGAATTTTAGGATTTTCTTTCTATTTCTGTGAAGAGTGACATTGGAATTTTTATAGAAGTTACATGAAATCTGTAGATTTGGATAATTTGGATATTTTGACAATATTTATTTTTCCATTCCATGAACATAAGATATCTTTCCATTTATTTGTGTCCTCTTCAATTTCTTTCATCAGTGTTTTATGTTTTATGCTCTTTTCCTACTTCCTTGAGGTGTAAAATTAGGTTGTTTATTTGAGATCTTTCTTCTTTTAATGTATTTATCACTACAAATTTCCCTCTAGTACTGCATTCCTATAAGTGCTGGTATGTAGTGTTTTTGTTTTCATTTGTCTTGAAATCCTTCTCAAATTACCTTTTGATTCTTTGATTCAATGATTATTCAAAATGTGTTTAGTTTCCATGTATTTCTGAATGTTTTTGTTGTCTTACTGTTAATGACTTCTAGTTTAATTTTTGTGGTCAGACCAGATAGTTGGAATAATTTCAATCTCCTTAAATGTGTTAAGGCTTATTTTGTGACCTAGGACGGGATCTATCCTGGAGAATGTTGCATGTGCCCTTGAGAAGAATGGGTGTTCTGCTGCTATTGGGTGAAAAGGTCCACTTAGTCTGCAGTGTTGTTCGGGTAAACTGCTTATTCATTTTTGTCTGAATGTTCTATTCATTATGTTAAGTCAGTTATTGAAGTCTCCTACTATTATTATATTGCTGTCAATATTGTCTGAACTGTCAATATTTGTTTTGTATATTTATATATTCTCAAGTTGGGCACATATATTTTTATCATTGTCTTATCTTCCTGTTGAGTTGGCCCTTTTATTATTATGTAATGACTTATTTGTCTCTAGAGACAGTTTTTTAGTTAAATTCTATTTTGTTGGGTATAACTACTCCTGATTTCTTTTGTTTACTATTTGCATGAAAATCTTTTCTATCCCTTCAGTTTCATCTTACGTGTGTCTTAAAGTGATCTCTTACAGACAGCATATCTCTGGATCTTGTTGTTTTTAATTTATTTGCCACTCTTTGCCTTTCGATTGGGTAGTTTAATCCATTTTTATTTAAAGTAATTATTGGTAGCTGAGGACCCTTTTGCAATAATATCAAATATAGCAATAATTGTTATTTGTTTTGCAGTTGTTTTGTTCCTCTCTTCCTCTTTTGCTGTCTTGCTTTGTCATTTGATGATTTTTGTAGTGATTTCCTTTAACTCTTCAATTTTTATGTTCCCTTTATATTTGTGTATCTTTTATAGGTTTTTTTCTTTGTGGGTAACTCGAGGTTTACATAAAATACCTTGTAGATATAATTGTCTATTTTATGTTAACAACTTAACTTCAATTGCATATTAAAATTCTACATTTTTACTTTCCCCCACCCACACTTTGTGCTTTTGTAGTCAGTTTGCTTCTTTTTATATTGTGTATCCATTATCAAATTTTTATCTTTTAACTATTATATTAGAATTAAAAGTAATTTCTATACCATTATTACAGTGTTACATTATTCTGTATTTGTCTACATATTTGCCCTTAGTGGTGGTATCTATGCTTTCATATATTTTTTCATTGCTGTGTAGCAGGTTTTTATTTCAATTTGAAGAACTCCTTTAAGCATTTATTGTAAGGCAGATCTGGTGGTGATGAACCTTCGCAGTTTGTATTTGTCTGAGAAAGACTTTACCTCTTCTGCATTTAAAAAAAACAAAATAGTCTTGTGGGATGTAGTACTCTTAGTTGGAATTTTTCTCCAATATATGGAACATATCATCCAACTCTCTTCTGGCTTGCAAGACCTTTGCTAAGAAAATTGTTGATAGTTTTATGGGTGTACTGTTAAGTATGATAGCTTTTCTCTTGCTTCTTTCAAAATTCTCTTTGTCCTTGACTTTTAACAATTTGATTATAATTTGTCTTCATGTAGTCTTCTCTGGGTGGAAATTTTTTAGTGTTCTTCAAGTTTTGTGAATCCAGATGTCTATTTCCCTCCCAAGATTTGGGGTGTTTTCAGCCATTATTTACTTAAATATGTTTTCTGTCACCTCTCTCTTTCTCTCTATTTTCCTACCAAGACTACCATTGTGTATATATTTGTTTACCTGATGGTGTTCCATAAATCTCATAGGTTTTCTTTACTCTTTTTCATTCCTTTTTTCTATTTTCTTCTATGATTGGATAATTTCAAATGATCTGTCTTCCAGTTTGCAGATTTCTGCTTGATTAAGTGTTGGGGAAACCAGCCCCACACTACCCAGCGGGTACTCCGAGTCCGGCAGAGACAAAGGAGTTAGAAAGAGACAGAATAAGCGTTTTAAAGGTGGGTCCAGGGGACTGGAGCGTTGGAGGCTTGCTCACGGCCCAGAGCTCTCGGGCTCCACCCAATTTATTGGTTTACAAGCTCTTTGTTCTTAGGGTAGATGGGAGGGGGAGGAAGGGATGAGGAAAAGGATGAATCAGTGAAGGAGAACTTGTGAGTCATTCGATAAGATGTATAGCAGTGGCGGCTTCTGTGAATTTCCTTGAGCAAAGGTGTGTGTCTAAACTACTTAAGATCTTTAACTTATCAGGACTGAAACTGGTGGGAGCAGGTTTCAGGAGGAGCCAAGCTGTTTGATTATACTCCACTGCTTCAAGGGAGTGTTATCTCCCTGAGCAACCTGTGGAATGCCGCTGAGCGTTATGCTCTCGGGGCATAAAGACATGAAGGCAATAAGGAGACTTTTCTCGGGCAGCCCATGGGTGTCTCACACAGGGGAGACCAATTCAACTGGCACCCCAGAAACTCTCTTTCCCACAATTACGTCTGCTGTTGAGGCTGTCCATTGCATTTTTCATTTCATTAATTATATTCTTCAGCTCTAGAATTCTTGTATGGTTCTTTTTTATGATTCCTGGATCTTTTTTGAACTTGTTTATGTGTTATTTTCCTGATATTGTTGCATTGTCTGTGTTATCTTGTGGCTCACTGAGCTTCTTTCAAATAATTATTTTGAATTCTCTGTCAGGTAGGTTGTATATATCCAATTATTTGAGGTTGGTTACTGGAAATTTATTGTGTTTCTTTTGTGATGTCATGTTTCCTTGGTTTTTTATGTTCCTTTTAGCCTCAGGTTGATGACTGCACACTTGAAGGAGCAGTAACCTTTTCTAAACTCTAAAAACTGGCTTTGGTGGAGAAAGAACTTTATATATGGGTGGGTTTGAGGGTGCTGGCAGGGTGGCATGCAGCGGCTCCCACATTGGGGTAGAAGAAATGGTAGCTCCAACTTCAAGGTAGTATGGTAAATTTGGGCCCAGTGTGAGAGAGGAGTATCACATGGTATGGACTCCGGATAGCTCCATCAGCTGGAATCATCATTGGCAAAAACTGCAACGGTCCTTAGTGGGAAAAGCTGCAGGTGTCTGTGGTTACAACAAAGGCTGCTGGAGTCCTCAGTGTTGAAGGTTGTTGAGATCCTCCTTCCCTCCTTTACCCCAATGGGGAAAGATTGCAGCTAAATGTATCCCTTTTGGCACTGAGCCGTGCCAAACAGTGGGAAGGACTGACAAGGTAAAATGATTCCTGTGCTTTTCTATGTAGCCATCCTAGTCTTTTATGCTCCATTGGGTTGCTGCATTTTCTTCATAGTATTCCAGAGCCCTCCTATTTTCATCAGTGGATAGTTGTTAAATTGTCGTTTCATGGGGAGACAAAAGTTGGGACTCCCGGTTGACCATCTTGCTCTAAAAATATTTTCTTGAATAAAAATACATTCAAGTTGATCCATATTTAAATGTTTTCTATTTAATACTTCAAATATATTCTTTCTCCATATTTGTTTAAAACTATTTTAAGGTTAGTGTATCCTTTTGAACTGTGCCTTTGTTATAAGAGTCAACTGAGAAAACTAGTCATACAAATAATGTGAAAGTTGTTACTACCACAGCAGAAACGTATAGTCGTATTAAAATTAATAATACATAGTAAAAATAAAAAAGAGAGATCTCATTGACGTTGAGTGTATATGCATTTTTCTCACTTCAGGTGTATGTTTCTTTTACTGTTTTCATTCATTCACTCATTCATTCATTCATAAAATATTTATTGAGCATTTATATTTGCTGGACTCTATTCTAGTTACTAGGCAGACAGGATCCCAGCTTTCATGGAACTTGCAGTCCGATAGAAGGTAAGTGACAATAAGCAACAACAAAAGCAAGATACTTTCAGATAATAATCAATTCTATGAAGACAATAGAAGGGTTAGATTTCTGGAGACTGGCTGGAGAAGAAAATGTTGCCCCCATACACCTGAGGGCTGAAAGCAGCTTTCTCAGGAGGTGACATGTGGGTTGAGGAGCCCAAGCAATTAGATCCTTTGCCTTGTATGTATTTCCCTGAAAATATTATCAAATCATAATTTTATTCATTCTCTTCCACCATTCCTTCAAACTTTATTCACAGGGGAAACTGCTCAGGCTAAAGAATAAGAATTCCAGCAGGATGGGTGACCTTTTTTCACTCTTATCAAGTAGATTGTTACAAGATTACTTCAAGCCACAAGATCACTTCAAGTAACAAAACAGCCTCAAATCAGAAATTAGAGATTCCGGTCCAGTTTATGAATACAAAATAACAAGATAACAGTAGCTTCAACCACTCTGAGATTGGCTGATGCATAAGGAGATTGGAAAAGGGGCAGGAAAGGTCTCACTTGGACTAGTACAAAAAGAATCTGGCTTTGTGCTTTCTGGGCCTGGTAATTATTTAGTGCTGACTTTCTCCCTCATGTGAAATTTTCACAGCTCTGGATGTTTCCTACTGGGCACTCTCTCCTGCAGTTCTATTCATTAGAGAGAAAGCATCTCTATTTGGGGTGATCCTTTGTGACTCCTTTCTCAGCCCCTAGGCATATGCCACAAAATTTTGGCTGCTGGAGCTTTCACAGTTCACTGGGCGTTTCTATCAGTCAAGTCTCAAGACAGCCTCACACACATGCTGTCTCCCTGCCTTTGTCTATTTGTGCTTCTATGACAAAATATCTGAGACTGGGTAATTTATAAGGAACAGAAATGTATTTTTCTCACAGTTCTGGAGGCTGGGGAATCCAAGATTATGGTGCCAACAGATTTGGCTTCTGTTGAGGGCTACTCTCTGCTTCAAAGATGATGCTCTTTGCTGCAGACTTACATTGTAGAAGGCAGAAGGGCAAAAAGGGTTCTATCTAGTTTTCTCCAGCCCTTTTATACATGATTAATGTCACCTAACAAGGTGGAGCCCTTGTGACCTAATCAACTCCTAAATGCCCCATCTCTTAGTACTATCACATTGATGATTAAGTTTCAGTACATGAATTTGGGTGGATACTCAGATCATAGCACCCTCTGATGGCCCACAGCTGGTCTCCTAGCCTTGCTCCAACAGTCCTGATGTAGCCACATTCTTTTGCCTCTTCCCAAAAGTTAGCTAGTCAGTCTGCCTTTCATCCTCTACATCTGCCAGGAAGAAGCAAGACCCCAGTTTACTATGCCTCTCAACTAAAGAAATAGCATGGTGAGCTTTGTGAGTGGCCTCATGGAAGCTCCTGAGGTGAGGGTAAAGAAATTTCTCATCCTTCTCAATGGAATATCAGATGGGACTCACAGCATGAATTTTTCTAAATATTTACTCTCATAAAATTCTCTTTCCTCAACTGTCTAAACTCTTTCATTTTATCAAAGAGTTTCAAAAGTTATATAACAGGTTTATGTCCATTTCCTTTGAAAATCTGAATATAGTGAACTGGCAGCTCACTTGGAAATCTCGTATCATTAAATAGCTGTACCTAGTTAAAAAAAATCTCAACTTTTACCACCTGTTACTTAAAGGGAAAGATCAACAAAGTCATGTTGGTCATGGTAAGAAATTTGGATATTCTGAGCTGGGCATGGTGGCTCACGCCTGTAATCCCAGCACTTTGGGAGGCCAAGGCAGGTGGATCACGAGGTCAGGAGTTCAAAACTAGCCTGGCCAAGATGGTGAAACCCCATCTCTACTAAAAATAAAAAAAATTAAAAAAAAATAAAAAAAAAATTAGCCGGGCGTGGTGGCGGGCCCAGCTACTCGGGAGGCTGAAGCAGAGAATTAATTGCTTGAACCTGGGAGGTGGAGGTTGCAGTGAGCCGAGATCGCACTGCTGCACTCTGGCATGGGTGACAGAGTAACACTCTGTCTCAAAAAAAAGAAAAAAAAAAGAAAGAAACTTGGATATTATTCTAGTGTAATGGAAAGTACTGGAGGGTTTTTTGTTGTTGTTTTTGGGGTGTTTTGTTTAGTTTTATTTTGTTTGAAACAGAGTTTCACACTGTCACCCGGGCTGGAGTGTAATGGCATGATCTCGGCTCACTGCAACCTCCACCTCCCAGGTTCACGCAATTCTCCTGCCTCAGCCTCCCAAGTAGCTGGGATTACAGGTACACACCACCACACCCGGCTAATTTTTTTGTATTTTTAGTAGAGATGGGGTTTCACTATGTTGGCCAGACTGGTCTCGAACTCCTGACTTCATGATCCGCTCACCTCAGTCTCCCAAAGTGCTGGGATTACACGCATGAGCCACTACAAGGGAGTAACAGGATCTAATTTATGGTTTTAAACAGATCTTCTATTGTCTATATAGAGAATAGAACCGGGGAGAGGTAAAGGTGAAAGAGAACAGTAGAGTCTCCTGCATTAGACCATGTACAAGTAGATGGTAGCTTGTCCTCAGGTGGAAACACTAGAGGTTGTAAAAAGTGATAAGATGCTGACATATTTTGAAAGTGAATTCAATAGAATTTGCATGATAAAGAGAGGTGAGAGAAAGAGGAATCAAGGACAGATTCTACCTTTTTAATTTCAGTAAACTGAAGAATTTTATGGAGCCATTTACTGAGGTGAGGAAGACTGAGAGAGGAATATATTGATAGGGGGAAATCTGTTTTGGTCATATTAAGTTTGAGATGTCTATCAGATTTCTAAGTTGAGACATGAAGTAGACAACTGAAATGTAAATCTGGATTCCGGTGAAGAGTTAAAGCTGGAGGAACAGGTTTGGGAGTCATCTATACTTACATGGTATTTAAAGCCATTAAACTAGATGAGATCATCTAGGGAAAGAATATAGATGGAGACTGCAAAAAGGCTGAGAGCAAGTCTTGCACCTTCAACTTTTGGGGGGGTTGAAAGCCAAGAGACCCTCCCTGCAAAGGAGATTTGGCTGAGACTGATATTAGAGAGTAATTCCATTCCCTGAGCTCATACTCAGGGACAAGGGGAAGAGGAAATAAAAAGGTAAGCATGGAAACACTGGAATGAAAAACACACTGAAAAAATTCTATATCTCCAGGATGATCTGCACCCAGGAGTTGTGTGCTATGCTCACTGGGGAAATTAGACACCATTAACATGTTCTAATGTTTGAGAGATCCTTGGGTTGCAACCCAAATTTAGCACAGTAGCATATCAGCATTAAGATTGGCATCTTTCCTATGCTTACTTCTCCTTGCCTCAGCAAAGAAGGCCTATTCATCACCCATTCATTCAACAAAACCCACTTACCATATATAACACTATCTGACAGACATTAGACCAAGCACATAGGTACAAAGATTAAAATAGTTCTTGAGGAAGAAAGACAAGTAGACATATAATGACAACTTAGTGTAATAAATGATAAAATAATAACTAATATATACGCAGTGTTGCTATGCATCCTCATGTGTTATTCTAAGTGCTTTAAATGTGTTAATATTGTTATTCTCACAAAAAAAATGAATTTCAAAGGTGATTCTGGGACAATTAGATATCCACATACAAAATAATGAAGTTGTTTCCTCACAACATACATAAAAATTACAGTGGATCATAAATCTAAATGTAAGAGCTAAAATTCTAAAACTCTTAGAATAAATCTTAGTAATAAATCTTCATAATCTTGGATTAGACAAAGCCTTCCTAGATATGATACCAAAAGTACAAGTTACTAAAGGAAAAAAATAGACAAATTGGACTTCATAAAAATTAAAAATGTGCATCCAAGGGCACTATTAATAAAGTGAAAACCACATCGTGAGAGAAAATATTTACAAATTACATATCTGATAAGGAATTTGCATCCAAAAATATAAAGAACACTTACAATTCAAAACAAAAAGGACAGTAACCCAATTAAGAAATAGGCAAAGGATTTGAATAGACATTTCTCCAAAGATGCTATAGAAAACACCCAATAAGCACCTGAAAAAATGTTCCACATTATTTATCATTAGGAAAATGCAAATAAAAACCACAAGATACCATTTCACACCCACTATCATAGTTAAAACCAAAAAGACAGATACTTACAAGAGTTGGCAAGGATGGGAGAAATCAGATCCCTAACAGACTGTTGGTGGGATTACGGAATGGTGCTGCTGCTCTGGAAAGCTGTTTGGGTGCAGCTCCTTCAAATGTCAAACGGTTACCACATGATTCAAAAATTCCATTTGTAGATATACACATAAGAAAAATGAAAACATATGCCCACATAGAAACTTGTACATTGGGCCTGGCGCGGTGGCTCACACCTGTAATCCCAGCACTTTGGGAGGCCAAGGCGGGCGGATCATGAGGTCAAGAGATGGAGACCCTACTGGCTAACACGGTGAAATCCCATCTCTACTAAAACATACAAAAAAAAAATTAGCCGGGCATGGTGGCGGGTGCCTGCAGTCCCAGCTACTCAGGAAGCTGAGGCAGGAGAATGGCGTGAACCCGGGAGGCAGAGCTTGCAGTGAGCCGAGATTGTGCCACTGCACTCCAGCCTGGGAGACAGAGCGAGACTCCGTCTCAAAAAAAAAAAAAAGAAAAAAAGAAACTTGTGCATTGATGTTCACAGAAGCATTATTCACAATATCCCCAAAGTGGAAACAATGTACATGTTCATCAACTGATGAACAGACAAACAAAAGGTGGTACATTCATGTAATAGAATATTATTTGGCAATAAAAAGAAATGAAATGCTGATGGATACATTGCATTACATGTAAGTTATATCTCAATAAAACTGTTTTAAAAAGCTGATGGGCATATTTCAAAGACACAGGGAGCCTGCCTACTGCTCAAATTTGGGGAAAATTGAGCAACAAAATGTAAAATAATGCATATAAAAGAAATCAAGTGGGGTAGGTACTGTTCCTGTCCTCATTTTACAAATAAGGAAACACAGGTAAGTAAGAAGTAACTTTTCATAGTCATACCTATAATAAATGGCAGAACTAGGATTTCAATTCAGGCAGTCTAGCTACAAAGCCTGTATTTTTCCACCATTGCAATATCCTGTCTTACCTCTGAAAGCATTTTAAAAAATGCACAAAATCTGGTAGGATGTGGAGGGGAAAGGGTAAGAGAAGGTGGATGTTGGTGAGGTCTTGCAGGAACGTATAATGCTTGACGTGAATCTTGAATTTCGCATATTTAGCAAGGCAACTGAGGATGGAAAGGAGAGGAGGTAAGCTAAGGGAAAAGGATCACGATAGGAAAAAGCGCAGAGAGGGAGAGATATCAAGGTAGTTCAGAATGACAGGAGGTGAATTATATGAAAACGGAGAAGAAGGGAGCAGATGTCAAGGGGTGATGCCAGAGAGGTAGACAGGGGCCAGATCGCAAAACTCCTGGCATGCTGTTATCACATATTTGAAGTTTACAGAAAATCATTTTTGGAAACATGATCAATCAAAGGAAGAAAATTTTGATTTGAAGCCAACTCTTTGCACTTGTAACTCTCTCAGCACAGTCAAGGGAAGGGTGGTTTGGGGTCCAGTTGAACAGGGTCATTTTGCTACAGCTGCACAGAGCCAGCATTGCTCTAGTATCCTGGGAACTGGTGATACAGGTACATTGCGACACAGCCCCTGTGATATGGATGCTGGTGGTCTCACAAGCGGATGTCCCATAGGGACAGCTCCCCTTTAGGGAGCTCATGGACATGGATATCAACCAGAGAGACAGACGTGGAGAGGAAGAATATGCCATAAGGTACCCTTTGCATGAAAACATGAAATATAGATGATTGGAACCACTTCTACCCACCACCATTACAAAAGTAACTGGGGAAATAGTTTACAGAGGAGAGAGGGCAGGAGCACTGAGGAGCAGAAATTAAGGATGGCTGCATTAGCCATTATAATTTGGGCATTAATAGTTAATGACAGTTTATTTTATAGTCATACATTTGCCAACTCTAGACCTACCAGTTATGTTTATAATTTCCAAGACTATTCCAACCACGATGGATCCATCATTTGTAGGAATGGTAATAATTTCTACTTCAGAAAGGCCACTATCATATTGATGGTTCTCACCCTGATAATCTCCTCACAACAAGTACCCAATTTGAGTTCCAAGATTACAGCATTCTGCTTTGCCTTTGGGAAACTCACCACCCCTCCATCTGGTTTTGAGAATTCTACCACTATGCCCCACTCTCCAATCATAACTCTGGCTATGCAATGACCCAGGCTGGCCAATCAGAGTATTTTAGCCCCAGGGCAGAGATACTGGATCAGGAATGGGCATCTATTCCATACTGGGCCAATCTAGAGCTTCCCTATAATTTGCTATATTAGTCCTGCTGAGAGAGAAGGTTTCTCTCCCTTTGGGAATGTGAATTCTAGCTGCCAGCTACCATCTTCCCTAGCCCCATGGAAGAATGCATCTGCAAGATGCGTTTGACAAAAGCCAAATGCAAAGAAAAGGCAAGAGCAAAGCCCTGAAGACACTGTGTGAACCACTGGATACTGTCATGTTCATAACAGAATGACATGTCTAGATTTCCAATCTATGAATGTCCAAAAATTCCCTTGCTTTCTTGAGGTAAAATTCTTTTGCCACTTGTATCTAAAAGAGCCCTGACTAATACCCAAGGAAAAAAATAATTTCTCTAAATTTACCCAGAGATAAACAGTAGAACACATGAAAAAAAAAAAGACTAAGATTATGCTTCTACAGTAAACAGAATTCTAAGATGACCCCAAGATTTCTGGCTCCTGGTTTGCAGACACCTTCTCTCAGTTATTCAGTCAAGCACAAATCTAGGTACTGCTGTGAAGGAATTTTGCAGATGTAGTCAAATGTCCAAATCAATTGACCTTAAAATAGGATTATCAATGTGGCATGGCTTAATCACACTTGCCTTTTAAAAGCAGAGAAACTTCTCCAGCTGGTGGCAGAAGAGGAAGTAAGAAAGAAACACTCAGTCTGGCCTGGAATAAAGCAAGTATTTATGCTGTAACTTGCCCATGAGAGCCAAGTTACAGGGAATTGAGGGTGGCTTCTAAAAGCTCAGAGCAATTTCTGTCCAACAGCTATCAAAAAATGGGGACCTTGGTCTCACAACTCAGGAAATAAATTCTTCCAATAATCAGTGAGATTGGAAGAGGACCACAAGTCCCAAATAAGAATCAAATTCCCAGCCAATATTACTAATAAGTGAAAAAAAAAATAGCAGATATTGGCAAGGTTGTGAAGCAAAGGGAACACTCATGCACTGCTAGTGGGAATATAAATTAGTTCAGCTGCCATGGGAGCAGTTTAGAGATTTCTCAAAGAACTTACGACAGACTACCATTCAGCTTAGAAATCCCGTTGCTAGGTATATAACCAAAGGAATAAAAATCGTTCTACCATAAAGACACATGCACACATATGTTCATCACAGCACTTTTCACAATAGCAAATATATGAGATCAACCTAGATGCCCACCAACGGTGGACTGGATAAAGAAAATATGGTACATATACACCATGGGATACTATGCAGCCATAAAAACAGAATGCAATTATGTTCTTTGCTGCAACATGGATGCAGCTGGAGGCCATTATCCTAAGCAAATTAACACAGGAACAGAAAACCAAATACTACATGTTCTCACTTATAAGTGGGAGGTAAATATTGAGTAGACACAAAGAGGGGAACAATAGATCCTGGGGCTTACTTGAGGGTGGAAGGTGGGTAAGGATTGAAAAACTACCTATTGGGTACTATGCTCATTACCTGAGCGACAAAATCAATTGTACACCAAACCTCAGCAACACACAATTTATCCATGTAGCAAACTTACACATGTGCCCCCGGAAACTAAAATAAAAGATGAAAAATAAAATAAAATTCCTTGGAAAAAAAAACCAAAAACATAATTCCAGCCAACACTTTAATTTCAACCCAGAGAGACCCTACAGCAGGGCTTCCAGTAAAGCAGGACCTGAATTTCTGACCGACAGAAATATGAGCTAATAATATGAGTGCTATTTAAGCCATTAAATTTGTAGAAATTTTTTATACAGCAGTAAAAGACTAATACAGTCTCCTCACCAGGTTCTCTGAAGCCAGTTGAAACCACTCTTGCAAAGATTATGACAGAGACAGAAATCTAGCATGGCTGACTCCATCTTGCTTCTAGCCTCACAAGCTGGCTGTCCTGGCTCATTCCTGAGTGTGGGCCAAGCTAACCATGGCAGGAATTTTGTTTACTGTTTAACTTTGAAGTAAGGATGATAATTGTCCCTCCCTAAAAAGTGGTCCCCTTCTTGCTCAGGGACCAAAACAACATTTGTAAAACTAATTAAAGGCCATGAGATTAGAACTACAGGAGGGGACCTGAGTTCTGTTAAGATATAGGCATAGTTTTTATAATCCCTCACAGCTCGGGAGTCACGTGGCCAGAGGTCACAAGATTTGTGACTTGCCCAATTGCTGCTGTAGATAGCATCGCTACTGTAAAGCCTAAAATTGGCCTTTTGAGATGTTTTATTTTTTCAGACTTTTGCATTCTGGCAACTGACTGACACCTCTAGGAATGACTCATGACTCAACTGGTCCTGTGGCCCCTATCCAGAGGGGCTCAAGACATGAGGACTGTTTTCCACACCTCTATGATTTCATCTCTAACCAATCAGCAGCACCCATTCCCTAGCCCCCTGCCCACCAGATTATTCATAAATCCCCAGCCTCTGAGTTCTCAGGGAGGCTGATTTGAGTAACAAACTCCTGTCCTTTCATTTGGCTAGCTCTATGTTAATTAAACTTCCTCTACTGAAAAAAATCTGCTGTTCTCAATGCACTGGCTTTTCTGGGAAGTGGGCAAGATTAACCCATTGCAGAATTACACTACAGTCCTCAATTTTATCCCTGATTGGTTCTAAGAATGTACAAAAAAAAAATAGAGTATATTGGTTGCCTGTCTGTTGCCCCCAATATTTAGATTAAAATTTAAGTAAATTTTGCAAATATTTTTATTTAGATGCTTTGGTAGGGTATTGACACAGGTATACCTTAATTTGGAAATCTCATCCTCTAGATTCTAATAATTCATAAAGTGCTTATCATATCAATCAAGCACTATGCTAAGCATCTCATCTCCATCAGCACATTTTATTCTCACAACCAAGAGCAAAATAAGAATTATCATAATTATATAATAGAAAATGTATGCTCAGAGTTTAAGTGACTTATTCAAGATTGCTTGAGGAAGATTTTCGGAATAAGATGTTATTCTGAGTCCTGTGTTCTGTCCTCTACACATCAATATTGATACAGGAGGTAGAAAGAAATTATTTAAGCAGATAGTGAGGGTAAAAGAGTCCTCAGCAGAGCTTCCCCTTTAACAAAAAGCAGCCCAAGAAATTATTTTTTTCCAACAAAGGGCAACCTGAAAAATCAAACTACAAATATAGACAAGCAAGCTGGAAGCTTGCATGGGGGAATGCCAACAGCTATGCCCAGAGAAAAGGGCTACCTGGGGGCCAGGCCTGTCCAACATGGAGGCTCTATCTTCCCTTTTCTTTGTTACCACGTGTACAATAAAGAAACAGGCGACATGACACCAGCCAGGCAGCCTCAACCAGTTTTTTGTGCCCTGTGAAAATGGCACACCAGGTCTGACCAATCTTTTGTGCCCTATATAAATCAGACACCACCTCCTCAAGCTCATCTATAAAACCCCCTACATTTCACTGTGGGACTGACAACCCATTTTTTGGGACCCATCTCTGCAGCAGAGAGCACTTCTCTTTCTTTGGCCTATTAAATTTCCACTCTGAACCTTACTCTTTGTGTGTCCACGTCCTAGTTTTCCGTGGCTGTGAGACAACAAACCTCAGATATTACCCCAGATGAATGATGCCATTTCAATCTCAATGTAATCTGCCACCACAGTGAGTGTGTGTGTGTGTGTGTGTGTGTGAGAGAGAAACCACTGAAACTATGCAAAACTATGCAAAATAAAATGGTTATAATAAATTTCCCCAAAGTGACTAAGAATCAACGAATATCATGCCTGAGACAGTCTTACATAATATAAAATTTGTCCATAGTAGTTAAAAATAGTAAATGTAAAAAGTCAATATATTGAAAGCATGCTCCTTGGAAGATAATGCTATAATGCAGAATAGTATTGACTGAGAACCTTTGATAGGACTGGCCTATGATTTCTGCCTTGAACAGAAAAAAATGGAATGTTTACAAGAGTTGTCATGACATAGATAGGAAAACAACGAGCAAAGACATAAAGATTTTGCCAGAAATAAAATATTCAGATTCTATCCCTGTCCAGACTATCCTGCTGGACCTAGGAGAGGGAAACATCACTAAGGTAGAATAATTCTGAAACAACATTACCAAATCTATTTTATCCTGGTCCATTTAAAATTGCTGTGAAGGACCTAGAATAAAATTCTGCTTAGTAACTAATTTAATCACATATTTTACTCCTAAGGTTTATTTTTTGTTCTGTTTCATACTTTTCTATATTTGGGTATTCTAGAAGTTTGCAATCGGTGAAAACTAATGATTCCTCATGTGAAATGGTAAGAATTCCTTTGCTTATTCATCATTTTATATTGTTCATGCTTTTTCATCTATTTTTATATTTCAAAGTATCCTTTTATACTTTGGAAAGGCCTTGTGTCTGTCATTATAGATAAAGGAAATAGTCACAATATATGAAAAAAACAATATAAATTTAGTATTCTAATTTTGTAAAAGTATGTTTTTATGGTTGATATATTGGCATTGTATGTTTTTGTACAATGAGCATAATTCAGGGTGAGAAGATACATCTGGAAGGAGTCATGAGTGCCAACTATGATTATCTCCGTATAGTGAACATGAGGGATTTTTAACTTTTTAATAATAGTCTGTTTTCCATATTTTCTGCAATAATCATGTATTATCAAAAATAATATTTAAGTTTTAAAACTAATGAATTCTTTGTGATATTGCTGTGGTTTAAATGTGTCCCTCAAAATTCACATGTTGAAACCTAATTGCCAATGCAACCACATTAAGAGACTGGGCCTTTGGGGAAGTGATTAAGTCTATTTTATAAGAGCACTAATCCATTCTTGAGGGTGGAGCCTCATGAACAGATCAGTGCACTTACAAAAGAAATTGAAGGGAGTGCCCACATGCCTTTTGCCCTTTTGCCTTTTGCCTTTTTGCTCTTCCATCACTTTTGCCAGGTGAGAATGGCACCAAGAGAGGATGCCATCGATAGAGCAGTTCCTCACCAGACACTGAATCTGCCAGTGCCTTGATCCTAGACTTCCCAGCCTCAGAACTATGAAAATATAAATTACTATTGTTTATAAGTAACTCAGTCTCAGGTATTTTGTCATAACAGCAAGAACAGACTAAGACAGATGTTGTTAAGGAACTCTAAATAACTCTATCTCCACATTAGCCTTAACCTGCAAGACTAGATTTGAGGCTATTAAGAACTGATTTATCTGGCTTGGAGGATATCTGGATGGAGGAAGGGCAGAGCAAGACAGAACCGGTCACAGTATTTAAAGTCTCACCATTACACAGAGTTGTATATTAATCTTCTAAAGACGTAATTACTGCTGTCTTCTGGAAAATCGTCTATATAAATATTGAGTGTTGGACTAATTGATCCAATTAAACCTTTCAGCATGTCTGCCCTGCCTTTTCCTGCAAACACATGTTGCCACTACTAGTACCAGCAGGACCATCTTGCCACCACCATCATAACCTGAGGAATTCAGCCCCCATTCCCATCCTACAGACATAAAAAATGAGGGCCTGTAAGGGTAATGACTTCTCAAAGCCACAAAATAAGAGGCAGAAGAGAATGAACACTTAAACTTAGGTCTTGACTCCAAGACACTAACACATTCTTTAAGAGTCGTTGTGTCATCTGGTTTAGCTCTTTTCATCACCAATTTCATGCCTTGGAAGCCTTTTAATTTCGAAGATAAAGGCCAAAATTAGAACCCTGATAGCCTCCCCTTCCCAAATCTCTGCTAGTGTAAGACAAGGAGGAGGATGCCTACAGTAGAATGCCAGGGGTGGTGCAAGAAAGTGTTTGACCCTCATTTGGTCTTGGGAATTAGTGATTAGAAGGGCATCTGGCTGTGATTAGGGCACTTGACTAACTTATTCCAAATTTCTGGGTTCTGACTCAGGATTCTCTAAGTTCAGGAAAGCCATTTACAAATTTCAAGTCACGGCAAAAGAAAGGAAGTTTCTTTGAGGCTTTTGCAATTTTACTTCTCAGAGCTGGGTTACTACCGGTTGCTGCAGGACTGGGCTGGTCCAGGGAAACTGGAATCGAAACCATGCTAGTTCATAAAGTATGATGATGTCAGAAACAAGCACAGACCAATGTAGATCAATACTGCAAGTCAAGGAGGGAGTCAAAGACAACAATCATAGGGCTAGACCAAGCTGGAGCAAACAGGCCAGGAGCAGAGTCCTCCTTGGGAAACCACTTAACTTTTCCGATTATCTATAAGACAGTAGAACTTAAGCAGAATTTAGAATCCAAGGTTTAAACTCAGCAAAGAAATGTGAATGGAGAGCATAGGAAAGCAGAGGAAAATATCTCAAGGTTTAATTATTTTTTACTCGAATGAGAATGCTGTTGATTTTAGGACAGGGACTGCACTCTGTCACCCAGACTGGAGTGCAGTGGTGTGATCACAGCTCACTGCAGCCTTGACCTCCCCGGGCTCAAGCAATCCTCCCTTCTCAGCCTCCTGAGTAGCTGGGACCACAGGCGCATGCGACCACACCTGGCTAATTGTACTTTTTGTAGAGATGGGATTTTGCTATGTTGCCCAGACTAGCCTGGAACTCCTGGACTCAAGCGATCTGCCTGCATCAGCCTCTCAAAGTGCTGGGATTATAGGTATGAGCCATTGCTCCAGAATTTAAGATCCTTCTTGATGTGAAAGAGCCAGAGCTTCTGCCACGTAGACCCTCCAGAAGAGAACAGGGTTCATGGACATGCTGTTGAGTGCATGTACCTGCAACTGCAGCAAGGCACGTGGCTCTGCCTCTGGGTCATTCTGTAGTTGTAAAATGTTCCACAAGCAACTACTGAGCTGCTCATTGTATCTGAAGGACTATACATTCTTTATAGCCAAGACTATGCAATATTTCTCTCTTTCACTGCTCTAGTAAAAATGTTTAAGAATTTCTAAAGTTTATGATTCTTTCATTCATCAGCACCTGTGACTCATTGATTCTTCCTCACAAAGTGTTCATGATCATTCATCTTCTGATTCTCAAAAGGATTTGCTCAAAGAATGTTTGCTGAACACAGTATAAGGTCTTAATCACTTAAATACATGCTTTAATTTCAGACACTTCTCTTTGTTTTATAGGGAGACACACGTTGTTCTCTCAATGGACAAGGATCTTCTTCAACCCCTGCATCCCCCACATAGTGGCACAAAGGAAATATTTGTTGAATGAATGAGGTTAGTTGCTTTTCCTTTTTAAAATAATCTTGATGTGTCACTACATATTTTGGTACAGATGCTTTCAATATTTGGTTATTCAAGGAGACTGAGTTGGCAAAACTTTAAATAGATGCTATGATAGAAGCAGTAAAGCTTGCATTTAGCTTGGAAATGTTGAGAAGAAACATGTATACATTTTCATCTTCATGATCCTCCTCACCTAAAGCCGTGGGCTACTGGAATGTCTGCAGAGTATGTTGTACATACAAAGACATTTTCACTCTTACTTGTTGGAACCCCTGAATATATCTGGTCCCATCACCACAGGTTGGTGGTGACATTTTTCAAAACTAAAATTAAAAAATAATGGATCAGTAAAACTTCACCATAAGAATACCTGTAATAAAAATTCCCAAACACAGATAATGGAAAATGTAATGTTATTGACTCGGATAAATATAAGCCATTGGCTTTAACTTGAGAAATACAGCTTTTCCCCCAACTTTCTTACAGATTCCTCAATTATAGTACAGAGGAGTTAAAATTTAAATGCTTCCCAACTCTAAAGTAGCTGGTCCAATGTGGACCAATTTGGATCAGCTACTTTTCTTCTCCATTTGAAACTTTCCAACAATAAAGACAACAGTCTTCTTGTACTTGATCCCTACAGAATTAAACAGATGCTGCTTTTGGTGTGGACCCAAATCATAGCCCCTCAAGGAGTTTGTCAGCAGATTTGGAAGCCACCAACTTTTAAAAGTAAAGTCCTAATCCCTTATTTTATGAAAATTATACTGCCACTGGAGGCAGAAATCTATCTTGTCCTCAAAAACATTGCACTTGGTTGGGCACGGTGGTTCATGCCTATAATCTCAGTACTTTGAGAGATTGAGGCAGGCGCATCACTTCAGACCAGGAGTTTGAGACAGCCTGCGCAACAGGGCAAAACTACATCTCTACAAAAAATGAAAAATAATTAGTAGGGCATGGTGGTATGCGCTTATAGTCTCAGCTATTCAAGGAGGCTGAGGTGGGAGGATCCTTTGAGCCCAGGAGTTTGAAGCTGCAGTAAGCCACGATTGCACCACTATGCTCAGCCTGGGGAACAGAGTGAGAACTTATCTCAAAACCAAACAAACAAACTATTGCAATTTAGTTTTGATGTAAAAGGTATAACAATCTGAGTACATAGGAGCAGTTTCATATTTTAAAAAAATCACCTTGAGCAAAATAGATAATGAAAGTATCATGTAAATAGTGTATTTTAAATAGTTTATTCAACCTCTTTTTAAAAATTGTTTGGCTTACTGAAAGAAAAATAAAAGTTTTCAAAAAGAACTGTCCCCACACACAGTCCCCTACCCCCAACTAGCCTTCGATTTCCATCACTATAGTCCAGAACAAGTATTATTTATAGTTAAAAGATGCATCAGTCAGCTCAGCTAACTAAAGTTCCAAATGCATTCAGCTGCCTACTGCTGAAGCCCAGTTTCGAAAGCTTTTATCTGTCACCAAGGCCAGCCATCCACACCATTGAAACTCAGAATCATTACAAGCCTGTGACAGAGGCCAACCCCATGAGCAGAAGCTCCCTCTCTGCCTCACAATTCTGATTTCACTTCAAAGATCCAGTTTCCCTCACAACCCTCCTCCTATCTGAGGTCTTGTTCTTGTGACTTTTTTAATCTCAAGATTACCCCCATTCACTTGAGTGAATCACAATAGAGTGGCCAGCGATATGGGCCTAAGTATACAAGAGTTCAGAAAAGGAGGCCATGCATGACTTTAAGAAATGTCGAACCTAATAGATTACTATCAAAGATAAACAGAAACCCCAATATCAAGTATTTGAAAAGTACAAAATTTGCAGCAAAATATTACAAATAAGTAATACTAAATAATGGACTGTATCCGATTAGTTTCCATTTTATAATTCTCTCAGTACTAGGGTCAAATATGAACTATTATATTATACTTCATTAGTGGTCACTTCAGCTCTTCACTGCTTCGTACTCCTTTAACTGGTGTATATATGTTGCATGGTAAATTTCTTGAATGTTAAGATCCTACTTTTATAACCCCATTGCACTTAGCAGGGATGTACACCTAGACCTCCATATCAAAGTGATCAATAAATGCTTGTTAAGATGTATATGAACATGGAAGCAATTACTCGTCTCTAACAACAACTGTGAAAAATGTGGAGGCTCAGTGTTGTATCAGTGAACCAGCAAAATCACCAGTTTCTGAATGTGTAAGAGAATATCAATTGATGATCCAGCTTCTAGCAGCCACGCCCATTTCTACAAGCATAGAAATGATGACCTGTTGCATAATAATAGTAGTCTAGTTAATTATAATAAAATAATGTATGCATGTGTTCAGCAAATATTTATTGAGTGCCTACAATTTGCCAGTAAAAACAAAACAGACACAAATCCCTGTCTTCGAGAAGCTTACATTAGAGTGGGGGAAATAAACCATAAAAAATATAAATAAGTAAAAGAGATAGTGGTAATACTAAGGAGAAAAAAACAGGACAGGGAATAGTAGTACAGGGTATTGCAATTTAGATAGAGTAGCAATGACAATTCCTGAAATAAGTGAGGGAGTGAGCCATGCTAATATCTGGGAATAGCATTCCAAGCACAGAGAATGCAAAGACTTTGGACAAATTCAAGGAACATCGAGAAAGCCAAAGGGATGAGCTCAGTGTGAGAGGAGGGTAAAACAGCAACAGATGACTTCAGAAACATGAGATAGGGCACATGGATTATAGAGGGCATTTTAGTTCATTATGAAGACTTAAGCTTTTACTCTAGGATGAAAAGCAAATCCAGAATTATGAAAGAGATGTGACATGATATGATTTATATTTTTCAGGGATCCTGCTGGCTTGTTGTATTGGAAATAGACCAAAGGCAAACAAGAGCAGAAGCTGCAAAACCAGTTAGGAAGCCATTGCAATAATCCAAGCTAGAGTTATAGTGGCTTGCACCAGAGCAGTAGCAATGGAGGTGGTGATAAGCAGTAGAGTTACAGATTCATTTTGAAGGTTGAGTTAACAACCTCAACTCTAACCCTGACTTTTTCAAACCCTTGTGTCAAGGTCTGGCTTTCAAAAGACTGGAGTGAAAGGACAGCTTTCTCCATATGAAACCACAACCCAGAAGCAGGTCATCTACCAATGCTTTAGCTCTAGGTTAAATGGTCTAGCATCAGGGTTGCTGAATGATTCTTCATGGAATGCAAAAGGTTTTGCCCAGAGAAACTAGAAGAACGGAGTGGCAGAAACAGAAAAAATAGTGAGAGAAGCATGTTGGAGTGGGAGGTCAGAGAATATCAGGAGTTCAGTTTTAGATATAAGTTTTAAATCAGACATGTATGTACACATGTAAAGAAGGGATCTACAAGGGTGAATCACAGAGATATAGCCTGAAAATCAGACCACTTAGATTACACTTTTTATTTATTTTTTAATTTAATTTTTAATTTTAATTTTTGTGTGTGTGAGTGGTCTTTTGCTTTGCACGCCTGTTAGCCTCCAGCAGGGGTTCAAGTGAGACTATGTAAAGCTCTGTATGTGTCTCTTATTTTAATTTCAATTTTTATTTTAGATTCAGGGAGTAAATGTGCAGGTTTGTTATGAGGGTATAATGTATGATGCTGAGGTTTGGGCTCCTGTTGATCCTGTCACCCAGAGAGTGAACATAGTACCCAACAGGAAGTTTTTCAGCCCTTGCCCCCACTCCTTCCCTCCTTTTGAAGTCCCTAGTGTCTATTGTTCTCATCTTTATGTCTGAGATCACACTTTTCAAAAGCAGAGTCTGAGATGGAGATTCTTGTGCAAGTTACATTTTGAGTTGTTCCTTTCAGGAAAAAAAAAAAAAAACTATAGGAAAATAAGATACACAGGATAGAAGAAGAGAAGAAACTAAATTTTTTAAGTAGTTTCTAGATCAATATACAGTCACTTTGATCCCATGGGGAGATTTGGAGTGTAGTTTGACCCCAAAGTTTGCCCCATTTGAAGGCAAGGAAGTGGAACTGTTATAAGCCTGCATTACACAGTCATTAGCCAAGAACTGCAGAAAGAGGGGAATGGACAATCAGACTTCTTTGGGTGGAGTGGCTTCCATCAATCAAAGGCAATCCTTGGGAACCATTAGCAGTCATTAGCAGCCAACATCTGGCAGGCGACAATGGGTATATCAACCCTGTAAATTCGGTGGATTCGGTTAGAGGGAGGGTGCACCAAGAGCAGCTGTTGTAATCTACCCCTTGTACCACTCAGTTTTAGCATACACCAGTTAACGTAATGTTAACTAACCTAACCTGCTCTCACATTAGGTTCACTCCACCTGGTCAAAGCTTCTCCAGGATTCTGGCCAGTTGAAATTTCTGGAGAAACTGACAGAGAGAGATTTAGTGATGCAAACTATATACAGCCCCAACTGCTGCAGCTGATCATGAGGCCATGACTAATACACATCACTGTCTTCATCTACTACCCACTCCAAATATCTTTTACTCTTGGCTAGCACGTAATGCAGTGTAGGTGGCTGTCCTGATGAGAAGTCCCAAACCCTCATCCCTGAGAGATCTAAGTCCTGACTGCCATGTCCTTATCAGCAGTGCTTGCTGTACCCGCCTATTTGTAGTAGAATTGGCCACAGAAGTGCTAAGAGATGACCCAATGGTCACATGAGTTCTTCACATACTCTTTCCAGCCCCTATTTCCACATTATGATCACAGTCAATTATTCCTGCGAGTTGGTAACTCTTTTCCTAGCCTCCTGGTCTTCTGGGATCAGGAGCTCAAAATGACCAGGTGGCAGCTATAATTTTATTAGGACTTTTCTTGTGTCCCCTTTTGGAAATGCTCCCTACTCTGGGAACCAACCTCTATGCATACAAAGCATAAAGCTAAAAGCACGGGAAGCAGGAATCCTCCAAGAGGGTCTCCAGAAGATATGGTGAGCAAGGCCACTTCTACTTCCACTCCTTGAGTCCTAGACCCATGTGGTCTGTGTGTTGGAGACACAGCACAAAATAATGGTCATTCGTTTACAGTATATTCCACATTTTAAGGACAACAACTCACCTCCACAAAAAATGTCATCTCGAAGTTGGTACCTCAGCTGCACATTCCAAAGGTCATTCCAGCTCTTTCAGAACAGGCAGTTTCCAGCTGGTATGGCTGGTGCCTGCAAGTATGCTAGAGAATGTGACAGAGAGAAAATGGTGGTGCAGGGCTTGGAATTCCCAGCTCAAGATCCAGCAAACAACCAGAAAATTTCTATGACTGTGACAAAAAATCCCTTTTCACTTCTTATTGTGGAGTTGAGATTTCTGAAAAACAAACCTAAAATCTGTTCTGTGGGTGGATGAATTACAATGTCACATGAACTTCCAACCTTGCTGGGTCTCTTGAAAAAGTTAGGATATTCATCAGCTAGGGGTCTGGCCCAGAAAACTGGGATGGAGAGAAATGGCCAGATTCCAGTAAAACTAGAAACATGAACTCCTAAGTTCTGCCAAATCTTCTTTACCAATAGAAGCAGCCCTTCCTACTTTATCTGAGGAGATAGATGACTTCTTTCCTCCAGAAGGCCTGTAAGGGACTTACTTCAAGTAGTTTCTTTGCAAGGCACTGCGGATCCTGAAATGATCACACTCCCACCCCACATTGTTTCTAGACCTATGACCAGTCTCATGTCCCAGCTGGTCCAAGAGAGTGAGGCCAAACTGTGACCCATATGGAGGGTGTTCAATGCACCAAAATCCCAAGGAGGGTGGCTGGATCCAAGGGTGCATGCATTAGTAAATTTGATGTATATTGCTAAATTTCCCTCCAAAGAGAGTATACTAATTTATGCTTCCATCAGCAATGTGGAAAAGAGCATGTGTCTCCAATAACTTGGCAAAAGAGCATGTTTTCAAAGTTTTGCCAAGTGGATAGTTTAAACATTGTAGACCAATATAGTTTTAATTTGTATTTCTCTTATTATAAATCAAGTTGAGTATCTTTTCTGTGTTTAAGGAGCCATTTGTATTTCCTTTTCTGTGAAGTTCATATTCATATTTATTGCCTTTTCTCTTTTTCTTTTGAATTGTTGATCCTTTACCTATCATTTCTAAGAGCTCTTTATATATTGGAAATTACATTTTTATTATAATATGGGTTGCAAGTATTTATTTTCCCAGTTTGTTTGTTTTTTGTAATTTTCTTATAAATTCTTGCCATGCAGAATTTTTAAAATTAAAATTAATCTTTTTCTTTATGAGTTTAAAAGACTTTCCACATCCCAAGATATTAAAAGAATCCCTCTCCTCCCATTTATTCCTAGCAATTGTGTTGTTTCATTTTAACATTTAACGTTGATATATTTGGACTTTATCCTGGCATAGGATTTGAGATATGGCAACATTTTTTTAGATGACTATTGTTATCTCAACATCAGTTACTGAATTTTTCTCTGATATGAAATATTACTTTTATCTATAGTGAATTTATATTAAATTACCATATGTATATGAATTCATTTTCTGGACTATCTATTCTACAGTATATATTCACAAACATATTTAAATTTTGAGGCTCATGCTATATTTTAAGACATAATAGAGCCTGCCTACCTTTTTTGACTTCTTTCAATTTCTATAAGCTTAAACTATGTTAGTCTTATTTTTATAGGTTTAAAAAGAGGAAAAGAGTACTTTGTAGGTCTTATACTAAATTAACAAATTAACTTAAGAATAATTAACATCTTGCCGGGCACCATGGCTCACATCTGTAATCCCAGCACTTTGGGAGGCCGAGGCAGAGGGGTCACTTGAGGCCAGGTGTTCAAGACCAGCCTGGCCAACATGGTGAAACCTTGTCTCTACTAAAAATACAAAAATTAGCCGGGCATGGTGGTCCATGCCTGTAGTCCCAGCTACTTGGGACGCTGAGACATAAGAATCACTTGAACCTGGGAGGCAGAAGTTGCAGTGAGCCAAGATCACGCCACTGCACTCCAGCCTAGGCAACAGGGAAAGACGAAGGAAAGGAAGGGAGGGGAGGGGAGGGGAGGGGAGGGGAGGGGAGGGAAGGGAAGGGAAGGGAAGGGAAGGGAAAGGAGGAAAGGAAAGGGAGAGAAAGGAAGGAAGGAAGGAAAGAGAGAAAGAGAGAAAAAAAGGAAGAAAGGAAGAGAGGAAAGAATACTTAACATCTTTATGGTAGCAAATCTTCTTATCTAAGAAGACAATGTAGGATTCCATTAGTTCATGTCGACTTTCATGTCTTTCTGAGTATTTTTAAGTTTCCTTCAGGTCGGTCTTATACACTTCTTGTAAAATTTAATTCCAGTATTTTATCTTTTTTGTTCTTATTGCAATAAAATCTTTTCTTTCATTCTATTCTAACTGGTGGTTTCTTTTGCATATTAGAAAATATTCATTTCTGTATCTTTGTTTTGCATCCCACCACCTTGCTAAGTTCATATCGGTCTGTAGTAGCTTTTATGTTGATGTTAATTGTTTGGATTTTCCGACTATACAAGAATATATATAGCTCCCCTTTCCAATGTCAATAACTATAATTTGTTTCTCTTAATTAAATCAAATGTTTTCACCATTAAGATACAAATTGTGATGATAATGCTCATTCCTTTCATATTTTTGAGTTGTATAAGAATGTCTCTGGATACATTATATAGGCTGCAAGTTTTTGGGTAAGGTGGATATATTTTTTCATGTTATTAAATATTTATATTATTGAGCACTTTATCAAAACAGTATTAAATTTTTTAATTGCCTTTTAGCATATTTGGAGGTGATTATATTACATTTCTTTTACAAGTATCAATGTGTTATGTTAATGACTTTTCTAATATTGAATCATCATTAAATTCCTAGATTAAATTCTACTTGGAAATGATATAATATGTAATGCACTGTTGGACTGTGTTTTCTAATATTTTATTTAGGATTTTCTATGCATAAGTGAGATTCGGTTGTAGTTTTCCCTTTTATGCAATTTTCTTTTTCTCAGTTTTCATGACTATTTCATTGATATTTGCAAAGAAGTTGTATTTTCTGGGCATGTGCAGAGTTTAATAACTATCAATAAGAGCTAACTTATTTGTCTATACAGCAGGTCCTTGAATAATGTCGTTTTGTTATAACATTGATGATAAAAAAAAAATATTGATCCCCGGCGGGGCCACCAGTTGTAGGGTTTGCAAGTTCTCCTAATGTCTGCGCGGGTGTTCTCTGGGTGCTCCGGTGCAAGTGATTCTCCTGCCTCAGCCTCTGGAGTAGCTGGGACTACAGGTGGGTGCCACCACGCCTGGCTAATTTTTGAGTTTTCTGTAGAGAAGGGGTTTCACCATGTTGCCCAGGTGACAGGGTTTCACCATGTTGCTCAAACTCCTGGGCTCAAGAGATCCGCCCACCTTGGCCTCCCAAACTGCGGGGATTACAGGCGTGAGCTGCTCCCGGCCTTTTTTTTTTTTTTTTTTTTATTGCTGGGTGTAGGAAGGTGTACATGTTAACTTTTGGGGGTACTACCAAATTGTCCTCTGAAAAGATGTTGGTCCAGTTTATGCTGATGTCAGCAATATATGAGAATGAACGTTTATTTTCTCACCTCCTCCAGCTGGGAGACAGAGCAAGACCCTGTCTCAAAAACATTTAAAAATAAGTAAATAAAATTTTTAAAAAAGAATGTCTATCTGGAATTTATGATTAAATGTTAGCTCTAAATTTATGGTTTTCCAATTGGAGTACCAGTATACCACAACACTAAATGGCCATCTTTTCCTCACTGATTTAAAATGCTTTAGTTATCATATATGTAATTTTTCATGTAACTATTGTCTGGGCTGTCTGTTGATGTGTTTGTCTATTCATTTCTTTTATTATATTCTATTACCTTATTGTCTACATCAGTACCACACGGTTTTAAATACTACAGCACTAAAGTATCCCAAATTCTACCACTCACTGACCATGAGACCTCAGTAAACCTCTCTAAGTCTCATTTTTTTTACATTGTTGTTTTAAGAAACAATACATAAAAGACTAAGTAAATTAGTGCTCTAGTCCTGTTCCTCACACAAAATAGACGTTCAATAAGTAATTGTTATTATAATTCACAATTATATAATGAAGGTAGTAATGAATTATGTTATAATTCATAATTATATAATGAAGGTAATAATGAGTTATATTATAATTCATAATTTTTATTACAACTCATAATTGACGATGAGATTAGACTATGGACAAAAATTTATGATAATAAGTTACCAAATATTTTAAAAATACAACTACCCTTGCTTCTCTTTTACTTCTCCCTGTGTGTTCAAGCTCCAAGGGAACTTGTCCCTGTGGGGAGATCATTCAGATTCTGGAATATGCTCTGTTCTCCTAGGCTAATGGTGTGAACGGTGGAAGGAACAAAGAGTAGCTTATGTAGGACGCTATGGAAAGGGAGATCGGGTCAGTAACAAAGAGGAGAGCTGGCACTCCACTAAGTTTCCCATAGGAAGGACTGAAAGCCTGCTGTTCAGTTGCTTAGCAACAGGCAAATGTACAAGAAAGAAGTCAAAGACATCATAAAATCAGGCAAATTTTACTCTCTCACTCACCCATTTATTATTTCTACATTGTGCATAAGTCAAAGTGTGACTTCCAAAAGATAAGCCAGCCAGACAGTAAAGGGAAAGCTCAAACATAGGCATAAAAATGTAGTAGGTACCCCAGAGATAAATGTACAGATAAAAGTACATGTGATTCTAGCTGGATTCCAGCTTATAGAACCATTCTGCTCAGCGCAAGTACTTGTTAAGTGCTTCAGAGGATGCATGGAAGAGTATGAGGCAGCCCATGCCGTTAAGAAGTTTAAGATCTTCTAGGGTGGAAGAGACAACTATGCAAACAACAGCGTCAAAGGCAGGACTAATGTCACAACTGAGGAAGAGATTTAAGACTTGGGGGGCATCCAGAAAAGCTTCACTGAAGAGACACCATTTGAATTAATAAAAGTTAAACAGAAAAAAAATGTTAAGTAGGGTTTTTGACAGGTACATGGGGGAATAGGGAGTGCTTCTCAGGATATCAGGGAGGAAGTTTTAGGCATGCCCAGAACAATAATCCAAATTTGCTGCAAAATAGGATCTACTAGAATGGCAGTGAAAGATAAAGTTGTTGCCAGACTGTGGAGGTTCTTGAATGCCACATTTAGGGGGCCTGTGCTTCATTTAATAGGCACTGAGAGGCTGGGTGTGGTGGCTCATGCCCGTAATCCCAGCACTTTGAGAGGCTGAGGCAGGCAGGTCACTTGAGGTCAGGAGTTCAAGCCCAGCCTGACCAACATGGCAAAACCCTGTCTCTACTAAAAATACAAAAATTAGTTGGACATGGTGGTATGCACCGTAATTCCAGCTATTCAGGAGGCTGAGGCAAGAGAATCACTTGAACCCGGGAGGTGGAGCTTGCAGTGAACCAAAATCAGGTTGCAGTGAGCCAAGATCACGCCACTGCACTCCAGCTTGGGTGACAGAGCAAGACTCTGTCTTAAAAAAAAAAAAAAAAAGGCACTGAGAGATGATTCGGGTGATATACCTTCAGGAGATTAATCTGGAAATGATAGTTCTGACTGCGGTGGTAGTGAACCATGAAATGAAGCAAGTAGTGAAGAAGAAATCTCAGCAGTGCAGGTGGGAGAGGAAGATAGTCTAATCTCAACAAGGATCAGGAATGGGAAGAAGGAGACAGATGATGGGGACATCACAGGGGTAAAATTTGAAAATGGTTACCTATTAGGTACAAGGGCTCAGTAGAGAGAAGGGGGTGAAAATTAACTCAGAAGTTGATAGCCTGATTTATTGAATAGCTGTAATAGATGAATGGATTCATCTGAGCAGGGGACGGGCTGGTGGGAAGAGGAGGGAGGGAAAAGTAGAGGAGGAGGAGGAGGAAATAAAGAAGAAGGAAATACTTTGAACTTGCTAAATTTGCTCATGGTACTATCAGGTGGTAATGTCCAATTAGTGGAAGAAAATATAGGATTGGAGTTTAGAGAAAGGTCAAGGCTTTGGTAATTATCAACATGAAGGGCATAATTGAAGCTATGTGAGTAGATTTAAACACAAAGGAAAGAGATCAGATATCATCTCAAAGGAAGAAGAGGGCTGGCTAAGGACAGAACCAAGAGGCAGGAGGATGAGTGGTTAGTGAAGGGGACACAAAAAGAAGCGATGGGAACTGGAAGAAGATCCTAGCATCCGTCGCCAAGAGAACAACTTTTAGAAAGATGCGCAGATGGGCAATTATGGGTGAGGTTTAGTTTCCCTTTTAAAAAAATCTTTCACCAAGATCAGCAGTACTTTTGTAAAAATATTTTTCATCAGTTTATTTTAAGGAAATCATTTGTTATCAACAGAGGCAAATACAACAGAGACATGGGAGGATAAGGGCTGGGGACAATATCACATTTAGTGACAAAGAGATCGTGTGTGTCCCTGTAGAAACAAACATGTTTCAGCAGAACAGGGAAGCAGGAGAGGATTGGAAGGCACACGGGAAGACCCTGCAAGTGACTCATTGGCAGCACAGGGGTACAGGGAGGGGGAGGAGCGAGACAGATAAGGGGATTGTTTTCAGGAAAAAAGTTTAGAGGCACATTTGTTGAAGAAGGGAAGGACAATAAAGAGGGAAAGTTGGAAGATTTGTGTAGAAGTAGAAATCCTTGACCTAGCAGCAGAGAGAAAACAGGCAGGAGCAGGGCTAGGATCACAGATGTCAGCCTTGAAAAGCCAAAAACAGAGACCAGTCCTCTAATGTAGAGTGTGGTGGAGGTAAAAACCAGGAAAGGAGGCGGAGAGATTTTAAAGTGAATGGAGGAAACTTGAGGGTTGTCTCGTTTGAATGATTCAGGGAGTAACTGAACTTAAAGAACGTTTGAGAGGAGCTGGGAAAAGCAGAAAGGCAGTCTGAACATGGTTCACCAAACACAAAGGCTTTTTCTTCTTAAATCTTAGGTCTTAGACAGATACAGATAAACTTCCCCATGTCAGTAGGGGAATTACAATAGGTCCCAATATCAATCAAAAGAAGTTACATCTGAACCCACAGACCTTAACAAATACAGAGGAGACTAACAGGCTGGGCTATTATAGAGAACATGAACCACATACAAATCATAGACCCCTGGCACTCAGAGGGATCTCCAAAGGTCATCGGAGAATACACACATCCCTGGCAACACACACTGCCACACACATGCACCAATTACACTATGCTCTGTGTAGAAGGTTTAGACACCAGAAACTCTTCCATGGAAAGAAGGAGAGAGGCACCACATTAGATGGCCAGAAAACTTTGAATTGATGAGAAGGGAAAGGTGGTTCACAGGACAAAGCCTGAGAAAACTGCAGTTCCAAAAACATGCCCCAGTTCGATTGAACAGATAAAATATTGCATGAAGTTTGAGGATCTTTGCATCCAGTTCCCAGAATGATTATTTTAAATACGAAGAGATCGATCACAGGAAAAATAAAGGCTTCTGGATTCTTTGACCACATCAGGTCCCACAGGAACCATGGCCACATGAACTATGCACTTGGTGAGTACATAACATGACACTAGCCCATATTTCAGGACCTTTACTCTCACCTTGTATCCTATTTCATTGAAGTTATTTTTCTAATCATTAACTGTAGCAACAGAGAGAAAACATTCAATGTGGCAAAGAGAGAAGCTATGTCCCTTTGAGTCCATGCCTTCTCCACAAGAATCTCCTTGAAGTTTTTCATCAGCTGTGGCTCAAGGTGTCCCACACCTTGAGGAACGACGACTCTTCAGCACAGCTCTCAGCCTGCAGTTGCTGAAGAGCAGAATGATGGGGTGAACTGCTGCACACAGATAAATCACTGACTCCCACACCCAGAATTTAAAGTCCAGAGGTGGAAAAATACCTGCAGCACTGAACACCAGTGACAGGAAATATGAGATGAAGAGCATGGCAAAAGAGAGGAGAGCCAGCAGAGCCTTTATGTGTGCCTGCACACTGGGCTCTCGGAATCCTGAGGTTGTAAGGAGAGCCTTCTTCCTGTGTCTTCCCAGAGATGTGATGAGCAAAATCATGCAAATGAAAAAGACAGCAGTGGGCATTGTCCAAGTAATCATTTTTAGAGGGAAGAGATAGAATTTCTCACAGTAGCTCCGTATGCTATCGCCAGTGACATTCCAAGGTTGTAGATGGTTCCTTAAATAGTTCTGATACATTCTGTGGTTGCCTATGAAAAATAGAATGGTGGTGAAGCTGGAGAGCCCTACAGAGCTGAAGAGCATCCATGGTAGCCACCCAGACAACTTGTGCTTTAGCCAGAAGAAGACAGGGTGGGTGAAGGTAGCAATTTTCACACAATAGAAGACACTGAGCCAGGTAGAGGACCATAAGGTGGCAGCATTCAGGAAGTCCCACTGGAAAGCTAGAAACTGCAGTACAGGGTTGTATGGGAAGGCCATCGGATGCAAGAAAACATAAATGGTCTTACCCATTACCACTGACTGCAGACAGAAGCGAGAGGCCCCTAGGCTAACCAATAACTTATCACAAGGCAACAACATTCTCCGTAGCACCCACTCCACGCCCAGAGCAGCAGTGATGAAGCCATTGCCTGCTATTGCTACCAGGCGTAAAAGGAGTAAAATGGTAACCAAGATGATGGCCTTCTTGTCAGTCACCGAAGATCCTAGAACCATGTGGTCTCCATTCATCTCTCTGGTGGACAAGATGGGTCCCAAAACTTCAAGGGCTATCTCTGTTGGGTTGCTCTGGAAGGTCCTGTAGGATATGTTTGTCCCTCCAGCTGCCCCAAGCGCAGAAGCTAGGCCAGAGTAGAGGACGCAGGCTATCAGAGGAGGGTGAGAGGTTTTTTCTTCTCAGAGTAGATGCAAATATTGTCAAGGCTCAATTTTCAAAGTCCCCATACCTGCCCAAAAATTTGCCTGCTCTTCTGCCTATTCTCTGCCCATGTCAACATCAAAGTGGATAATATATCAGGCCCTGGCATTTAGTGTCCTTACACAGGAGGTTATACTTCTCTAAGCGGACACCTATGACAGGACCATGCACCTGCCAGCTCAGTAGTATCATCCGTGGGGCACACCCGCTACTGAGACAGCGCTCACATCCACGGGGGGGGGGTGATTGTTATGTTGCAGGCATTGTTCTGAGTGCTCTCCTTAGTTCTCACAACAACTCTATGCGGGGAGTAGTATGGCAAGACCCCTTTAACTGAGACAGAGAGAAAACTGAGCAAACCTTTACAGAGAAGGATTAATTCAAGTCTTATTACTCACAGTGACCATCATCATAAAAAAAGAACACTGGAGACAATTATACATAATGAGGCAGGCAACTTTTTTCAAAATTTAAAAATATATATTTGATAACTGGTGGCCTCTAAAATAGCACTTCACAGAGGAACCCCCAGTAGCGATAAGCCAATGGGATATGGCAGAATGAGCCCTGTGCTAGGAGTCGAGACAGCCTTTAGTCCAAACTTTACCCCTTACTGTGAGTTGCTGGATATGTCAGCCCCTCTGCGCCTCATTTTGTCCATCTGTAAAATATGAAAAGTATCCTATGTTCTAATTCACAAAGATGTCTTAGAATCTCGGCTTAGAATGAAAGAAGACATGAAAGATAATCTTACAGATAAAAGAAATAAGACCCCAAATTATATATTACAACTCCCACCTAAAGTCACAGTTACACAGAGGAAAGACCAAGATCCAAACTGATTCCAGGACCAGGAATCTCTGCCATGGTTAGCAATACATGTTACACCTCCATCTTCTTCATCCCTAGCTGAACTCAGAAGCCCAAGTTTTGAGTCTTGTCACAATCACTACGGATCCTCAAGCAGTTAACCTCTCTGAACACCCCCCTTTCTTCACCTATAAAAAATATGGGTCACAAATAAATATGACCATAAATATGGTAAATATATTGGAAATTATAAACCTCTGCATATGGACAAGGAGCAATGATGATGATGACAATTACTTTATTAGAATGGCTATCTTCTATTCCATCCATCCTGTGGCATAATAAGTAGCATAAGGAGAATTCAGGAGAGCATCAGGGATGCAACAGAAGTTCAGGGCACCAAATGTCAGACCACTGATATCAACCAGAGAAGGACAGAGTAAAAAAAAGACCACATTCTTTATAGAAATCAGCTTCAAAGAGTCAAAAAAATCAGCAATCAACACCCAGGTGAGTGTAAGTAGGTTAACGTGTCACAGGGAGATAGGAAAGCAGGAATTGTTCTGGGTCAAATACAGCAATATTGAAGGCTCAGGATCAAGTAACATGACAGTAAGGGGATTTGTAATGAATACACATCTGCTGACACCACAACCTACCAGTTCCATATATAGGACCCCCACAAAAAGGGAATAGAACGCATGTCAGCATCTCTTCCCAGTTCCCAGTCTACTTCCCAGTAGTCCACTTCCAGGTGGAATTGTTTCTTTAACACATACGCCAACCATAGTGGACATAGGTCTTCGGAGTAAAGGAAATAAGATGAACTAAGGTAATTCACTCTGCCTTTCTGTGAAGATGCAAATTTCCAGGAGATAGAGTTCCCAACTGCTCTCTTCCTTGCCCTTGTTCTTCTGGCTGACATTTGGCTGTTTTCTACTGGAACTTGGAGAAATGGGGCAAACTTCGGGCTTATAGCTCTGGAGTATGGCCACCTACAAACCGCCCAATATGGAAAACTTGAATCTTTTTCATCCACCTCCCACACCTTCAATGATAAAGATGTGCATTTAACCTTCAATTCATTTAATAATAATTTATTAAGCATATCCTATATGCCATGATAACCCTTTGAAAGACATTGGGCTACAACAGTGAATTAGATATCTGCCTTCAAAGCACTTTTATGGGCTAAACATAAACCACAAACATTTACTGGACATATACTATGTGCAGAGTAAGTTAATCCAAAAGAGGGAATAATCATTTGAATTTAAATATGCAATGTGTTTCGTGGTGATTCTTTTGTTGTTTGTTGTTTGTTTGTTTGTTTGTTGCATTTGGCTTTCTCATGTCTAGATTTATCTTCTTAGGTAAAAGTCAAGTCTGAGAGTTTTTAACTTTTCATAACCAGTCTTTATAAATGTAATCATGAGGGTAGTAGGATAGGGATCCTGAGTTAGCTCTCTATATGGAAAACCTTCAACTCAGTACTCTCAACAAGTGACTCCCAGTCTGTGGCTCTATGTGTTAGGGATCTTGCTATTCCCATCCCAAGATCTCTCAGAAGAGTTGAGAAGTAACAGCCCCATAATTGTGAGACAATAAAGATGCTGTCTTGCATGTTGGAAGGAAAAAGATGAGGCATCAGTAAAGGAGGGGGATACATGATTATATCCAGAACAATTAGATACATTTAGCTACAACAGAGGACTTACATAGAGAAGATGGCATATCAAGCCAAAAAGGTAGGCTGGAGAGAGATCACAGAAAATTTTGGAAGCCTTGATGAGATATTAGATTGTATCTTTAGTCAAGACAGAGCCACCAAGTGTTTTGGGGCTTTTATGAGCTAGAGTTTTAAAAAGGAGATTGAGAACATCAATTAGGAACTCCTGAGACAAGTCCACTTAACCTGGTATCACTCGAAGGGCTGTGAAGATGGAGCAGAACATGAGAGTTGAATCACCACCCACTCCCCACCCAAACACCTTCAGTAAACTTCTGGAGCTCCGCCCAAGGGAAGAGTCTTCCAGGTGCTCACAGTTGAGTAGAAGGGATAGAGGAGAAAGATCTCCCCGCTCCCGCCATGCTCCTGTCTTTCCTGCCTCCAACCAACTTGTGGCTTGAGCCGCAAGGCTCAGTCTCATAATTTATTATTAATCTACCTGTAGGAAGTCATTAGCTCACTCATGTTGCTACAAAGAAAAAGAAAAATTCTTCGTGATTGATGATGAGGATAATACATGTTCTCTAGGTGGGATAATTCACAGACTTTAGGTGTCTATTTAATTTAAAGCCTGGCCACAGTGCCAGCTCCCCACAGGTTCCTCCATCCTGCCTCACCCTTGCTCTACCCCCTGGGGAAATCCCCCTGGGTTCCTCAACAGCAACTTGAGAATCTCCTCTTTTAAACCTTTAATCATCCTCTTGCAAGAGAAAATTCCTGATCTTGTTATCTTGCCTCTAGTCATCCCTCTCTCTTCTCTTGCCATATCCTGGCCTCCAGCTAGCATTGTAGCATAATGTTTTGGGGCCTCAGCTTCCTGGTATTATTGGACATTTGACCTTACACGCATTTATCTATTTGAAAATTCTTTGTAACCTCTGTTCTGTCCTGTTATTTACTGCTTCTATTTTGACTAGTTCAAACATATGAATCTCTCTTAACTGTGTGCAGTGTTTTTCCCAATCTCTTTTAGTCTATCGGTCTCCATACTTTATCATGAATTCCATCAGTAAAATATATATATATGAACATGCAACCCACCAGCTATGAATTGAATATTTGTGTCCTCCCAAAATTCATACACTGAAACCTTAACCCTCAATGTGATAACATTTAGAGATAACGCTTTCAGGAGGTAATTAGTTCATAAGGGTGAAGCCCTCATGAATGGGATTAGTGTCCTTATAAGAAGAAACACAAGAAAGATAAATCTCTCTGCCACGTGAGGACACAAGAAGAAGGTATCTGTCTGCAACTCAGAAGAGGGCCCTCACCAGAACCCAACCATGCTGGCACCCTCAGTTTCAGGCTCCAGAACTGTGAGAAATAAATATCTGCTGCATAAACACCCAGTTTATGGTATTCTGTCACAGCAGCCTAGGCTGACTAAGATATTACCATATGCATATTTATTTTTAATTATATGCATGTACATTTTACTAATACGTCATATGCATCATAAAATACCCAAAAAAAGGGGATTAAAAGAAAAAGATAAAAATAAATGGAAACTGAAATTGCTACAGGCCTAGTGGATCATCTTGCACAAGCTCTGGGATGCAGACATCCCAATCTGGAGATTCCCATCCTCAGCAGCAGCATCTGGGATCCACCTCCTGGGTGAGCAGACAGGAAGAGTAGGATCATCAAAATTAAGAAGTGTAGGACATTTCCTTTGTTTTCCATCTATCTTCTGTTGGCCAAAACCTAAAAGCATTTTCACATCAGACAATTCCTATTCATTCGACATGAGCACATGAAGTTATGGATGTGACATACAGTGGCACCAAACTCCTATGTGTCTTTAGCCTTCTGTGAGATCAGGCTGGAAAAACTCCCTGAGTGGAATCAGTCTTAAGCAGAGCACAAAGGAAGAAAATGACGGAGATTGGCAGAGAAAGGAAAGAAGGAAGTATTGGGTGGGCCCAAGAAGCACATGAAGAAGAAAAGGACTTGGGGGAAGAGGGGAAGAAGATTTATTGGGCTGAAGTGGAGAGACGAGGCCAAGAGAACAGGTGTGGAGCAGAAGGGCAGGCGATGTCAAGTGGATGGTGCTGGACAACCTATGTCACTATAAAAAAATAAGCTTCAAGGTGGGGTGCGGTGGCTCACACCTGTAATCCCACAGGTGGGTGGATCACTTGAGGTGAGGAGATTTGAGACCAGCCTGGCCAACACGGTGAAACCCCATCTCTACTAAAAATACAAAAATTAGCCAGGCATGGTGGCACACGCCTGTAGTCCCAGCTACTCGGGAGGCTGAGGCAGGAGAATTGCTTGAACACGGGAGGTGGAGGCTGCAGTGAACCGAGATCACGCCACTGCACTCCAGCCTGGGCAACAGAGCAAGACTCCATCTTAAAATTAAAATAAAATATATAAAAAATAAGCTTCAGTTTGCCCACAGAGACAACTGACGACAGCTACAGTTCTCTATAAAGGGCATACAGACCAAAATGATGCTTGGCAAATATTAGGGTTGCTTACCTATAGATTCTTGGGGCCCCATGAGGAAATGAGGCCACCAGCAAAAGTCAAGGTGATTGACGGCTAGGACTAGAGACTCACAGCAGTGGAGGGGATGGTAAGAACACAGACAGCAAGATGGAAAAGGGATTCTGAGGCATGGACAGAGGGGGAGAGAAAGAAGAAACTGGAAAGAGAAAGACAGTACCCAAACCTTATACATTCCTACCAGGATCATTCATCCCAGGACTGGTTACTGACACAGATAACTCAGGAGCAGAACCACCCTATGGCCAGCACCTTCCAAAGCCCTGTGAGCCAGCAGCACGTGGGCACTGGAGCTGAGGCCATGTCTTCAGGCCCTTTTTCAGTTTGGGGCTCCTCAGCACCAGGACGGTAGAGTGCAGACAGATGTTGGCATAGATTAGCACTTACCAGGCCCAGTGCCAGTGATTCTGAAAGTTTATGATTTTCAAAGCAGAAGCAAACAAGGACAGGAAGTACAATGTACAGAAGATGAGGGAAAAGGTGAGTGACTTTAAAGCCATAGTGTAAGCCTGGGTGCTGGGATCACAGGGGCCGGGCCTGAGGTCCCTCATCTACCCCAACTGCCAGCACAGTGAGACTATGAGCAAGACAGTGGACACTAGGAACAGGAGGAACAGAATCGACCACACAAACCCTTCATAAAGGAAAAAGTAGAGCTGAAATGAAGCCTGCACTCTATAAACTAGAGTTTCGTTTCTGTAGGAACTCAGGGAGACCTTCCTCTGACCAAACAGGATGTTCCCAGTGGCTGATGAGATGACTTCCAGGCCACAGATGATCAGGGAGCCCTTGATCAGCTTGGGCACTAACCGAGAGTTCCTCCACTTCAGCCAGGCGAAGGTGGGGTGGGAGAAAGATGAGATCTTCACACAGTAGAAAGCAGCAAGCAAGGCAGTAAACCACAAAGTGAGGGCATTGAAAAGGTCCCAGAAGATGTTCATATAGGGAACTGCACGCGAAAAATCTAAGGAGGCCAGGAGGTTGTTCACCATGGCTACCCCATGCAGGCAGAAACGGGAGGCAGCGAGACAGGCCACAATCATGTCACTTGTGGACAGCATCCGGCACCTTACCCACTCCCTGCCCAGCATTGTGACCAAGAATCCATTCTGCAGCATTGCAGCCAATGACTCCAGGCAAAAGATGGCTATGAAGATCAACGTGGGCAAGGAGGGCATCTTCTCCAGGGAGGTTCTGCTAAGTCTCAGCTCCTACTGCAGAGGGCTGGGACACATCTTCAGGGAAAAACAGCCTCTCTGGCTGAGTCAAGCCACCTTGTTGACACCAGAGACTCAGAAGCCCTTGTCCCTGGATTCATAGAAAATCCCAGCCACCAGCAAACACCCCCAGTCCCCAGAATTTGAAAAGATAATTTCTGCAATCTCCTTTGGCATGCAAATCACTCCCAGCTCAATGACACCATCTCTATTTGCATAACCTGTATTTGCCTGTCCTTTCTCAGAGCCAGATGCAGAGAAACATTAACAGAATAGAGGCTGCTGGGGTGACTGAAAATACCCACATTTTGTACATGATGTCTTAACTGTACTATTTCTTTCCTAACTCTTCTTTAAAAGACATTGTTACTCTTATTGCCCTCCCCAAACCAAAAACCTTCCCTTCACGTCCTGCCTTAATATTTTATTCAGTAGCCTCTATACACTGCCTTAGCTCACTTCCCGAATGGGTGGAACAGAAAAATCATTCGCATGCACAAGGCTTCACATTACCAAGAAAAGGCCCCCTAACCACTGGCCTCTCATGCTGCCTAAAATTTCACTGTCAAGCTCCATATTGGAGTTCATGGAATCTCCAGTTAAAATGTGGATTTCTCTGATATGTTACCATCATCTGTTAACTGTTATCCCCTTGGCTCCAGAGTGCTTGATCAACCAAAAGTAATCAGTTCCTAAGAAGCCTCTGAGGAAATGAGAGAGAGTAGATAAATCATAATGAGAAGACGAGAAAGACAGAGAAGGGAAACTGACCCAGAGGGGACATCACCATAGGAGCTGGGGGAAGCAAGAGTTGGTGGAATGACAAGAGGAGCTCAGGGCAAAGCTGGGCCACAGGGAAGTTTTGCTTTATGTGGAGTGAGCCCTGTCCTATAACAATACTGAATATATAATAGTAAAAACCACCCTGCTGAAACACCTTGTCTTTTTTTTTTTTTTTTTTTTTGACAGTCTCACTCTGTCGCCAGGCTGGAGTGCGGTGATGTGATCTCGGCTCACTGCAACCTCTGCCTCCCGGGTTCAAGCAACTCTCCTGCCTCAGCCTCCCAAGTAGCTGGGACTACAGGCATGTGCCACCATGCCCCGCTAATTTTTGGATTTTTAGTAGAGAAGGGGTTTCATCATGTTGGCCAGGATGATCTTGATCTCTTGACCTTGTGATCTGCCCGCCTTGGCCTCCCAAAGTGCTTGGATTACAGGTGTGAGCCACTGCATAGGGCCCCACCTTGTCATTTTTAAAGTGATTTCACACATCTTACATTTGGCCTTTACCGCCAACCACACAAAATGACACTGGTTCAGATCAGCCAACCCAGGCTCAGGGAGCCATGAGGACAGGTTCAACTGAGGAAAGAATGCCTATGAATGTGGAAAAAGTAAAAACAAAAGGGTTAAGAGGGAAGAGAGAGAAGGAGGGTAGAAGAAAGCAGAGGTGTGGATAGAAAAACAGGGAAGGGAATCCCCTGGCAAATGTCTCAGATCTTGGAGTCAGGGCTCTCCACCAAGATGAGTCACAGAAAATAGCCTTGCCTACTTCCCATGGTCTCACTCAAGATTCTACAGGTGAGAGAGGCCTGTGTGTGAAAGATTAAAGAGAAATAAAAACAAGGACAAACACTTGTGGTGGCGACTTCAAGAAAAAGAGGTTCAGCTCTCGAATATAGCAATTGCTTGAAGAGCTGCTTGTTTGTTTGTTTGTTTGTTTGTTTTGAGACGGAGTCTCGCTCTGTCGCCCAGGCTGGAGTGCAGTGGTTTGATCTTGGCTCACTGCAAGCTCCACCTCCCGGGTTCACGCCATTCTCCTGCCTCAGCCTCCGGAGTAGCTGGGACTACAGGCGCCCGCCACCACGCCCGGCTAATTGAAGAGCTGCTAGTTTTTATTGAACTCTCAAAAGATTGTTAGAGAGCGGATAATTCAACCTGATCAACTGTTTTGTAACACAGCTTCAGCGTCTTTCTTTAATTCTTTGCATGTCTTCCTCTGGCTTCTTGAAGACAACAGCAATGAGTGGCTTCTGCATGCTCCACAGCATTTTGGCTCGTCTCAAAATCCTTTGGCCGGAGCCCAGATTCATGATGTCATCAAGAAGCGAGCTGAGGCCATGGTACACACGCCCTGTTGCGGTCACGTGTAACCAAGTAGACATCTAATGTTTGCGGGCAAACTTCATGTTCTCTGCAGAGGTGCCAAAGCGTGCACTTTGCCAGAACAAGTCTTCCCCAGGACTTTTCCTTTCTACAGTTGATAGCTCTAGAAAGTAAACATTTTCTCCTGTTTCAATACTCTTCTATAAGAAGGCTGAAAGAGTACCTTTCCCGCAGGCACCTGTTTATCCATCTCTCAGTGCTTCACTAGATATATCTTATGGGGGTCCCATGTCCCATTCATAGTCTGCCACCAAAAGATACCATAAGCAAGATGATGTTTTAGGTTTTTTCTGTTTTTCAAGAGTCCTTCGAATGTGAAATAGCAATCAAAATACAAGGTGTTTCTCACAAAAGTTTGGGTCACATTTCTCTTTTTTAAAGGTGTCTCATTCCTGCAGCTGAAGCTAACGAATTATTTTCTGCAGCATGACTGGAGATAGTTTTTTAGGATGAAGTCTGAGTCTTCTGTGAAATGGTAGTAATGGTAAACAGGTAACAGCAGAAGACTGGATTAAAATGGAAGATTCTGCAAAGAGCTACTGGCACTTCCCTCACGTTAGTCCTCTACACCAGTAAAGTGCTTTTTGGTTTCTGTTGATTCGTTTGTTTTTTGTTTTTATTTTCTTTTTCTTATCACATTCAAGAATACATTCTTGAATTCTTAGAGAATGAATTCTTGGTTCATCTTAGAGACATACAAAAATACATTTCATTTGACAGGTTTCTCAATCTTGGTGCCCATTCCCAACTGAACCTTTGAGTGACGTGCATTGCATAAATACTTCCACGTATTTCCATGGCTTTATCGGGTAACTGATGGCCCACTCCAGGGAAAGGTGGAGGAAAAAGGAAATAACAATGTTTTTAATGGCTAGACTGCACATAAATGTTAAGCTAAACTATGCACAAATTTAATAATGATTTCCCTGCAAGATAAGCCCTAAATATTTTTTCTCACCCTGAAGACTTCCTCTGACTCTTATATTTAAGTAAGTAATTTAGAATAAACATTGGCTGTAATAGCAATCCGGCATAATAGAGAATTTTAGCTTTCTGAAAGTAAATTTGGGAATTTCTAACATCTTCCATTATCAAAATGTGAATGTACAGTTGAATATCGTTTAATATTCAGGTAAATCTACAGACTTTCCTCTCAAATAAAAAATAGCATTTGATAGTTATTTTTGTAATTATAAAGTTAGCCTGCAAGGAAGTTGAGTCCAATTCTATTTCAACTAAAAGATCTTTAGAATGAATCTTTCTCTTTGCCTTGCTCCATTCGAGCATTTAGAAGCAATAAAATTAATCTCTAAAGGAATAAATCAAACGTTCTTCCCATAATGCCATGAACTTCACTCAATGTCTAACATCTACTGGAGGGATAAGTTATGTTCGATAATTTCTAAATCAGTGGTTTACAAATTATGCTTTCCAGGGAGTTCTCATGGTAGGGAAAGGGTAAGAGGAGAACTGAGAAAGTAGAACCATAAACCCTCATTTCCTTTTCAAACACAGCAGTCCTGCTTATATGTATTTTATATACTGAGCTTCTACATACTATTTCAAAGAAAGAACTCCATTGCAAGAAACAAATTTTAAACCGCTACCATAGATAGATCCAAAGTCAACAAGAGGGGTAAGGACAGATTGCATCAACCCACCTTCTTTCCTTTGCTCCCCAAAACTCTTCTAAATTAACTGTGAAAGATTTTTGAGGCCAAGTGCAGTGGCTCACCCCTGTAATCCCAACACTTTGGGAGGGCAAGGCGGGCAGATCACAAGGTCAGGTGTTCAAGACCAGCCTGGCCAACATAGTGAAATCCCGTCTCTACTAAAAATACAAAAAAAAATCAGCTGGGCATGATGGCATGTGCCTGTAATCCTAGCTACTCGGGAGGCTGAGGCAGGAGAATTGCTTGAACCGGAACCCGGGAGGTGGAGGTTGCAGTGAGCCGAGATCACGCCACTGCATTCCAGCCTGGCCTACAGAGAGACTCCATCTCAAAAAAAAAAAAAAAAAAAAAAAAAAAAAAAAAAATTGAAATTAAGGCATAAATCCAAATAAAATAGATAGAAGAGTGATCAAAGATACAACAGCCCTAAGAAAACAGAATTCTATCCAAGCAGAAGGAAAAGTCAAGAATGAACCGACTTTTACCCAAGATTTGCCATACCAGGTTCCTCTAGAGAAAAACTAGTTAAAAGTCAGTTTAAGATTCAGATTCCCAAATCACTTTGTATACCTGGGCAACCACCACTCTCTCACCCTAGTATTGTCTGGAAAGGATAAAATGGGATCACTGAGCTGGATGTATCTATAGCACAGTTGAGACAAGGGTACTATACTGAGACAGGGACATTAGGTGAGCAAATGCTCTCCTCTCACATGGTTTTTAGAACTCCGGAACCCAGGCTTTTACCCTACAGGCAGATGAGTATCGTCTTTTCCAAGAACTCAAACATTCTAAAAGGAAGACATAAAGACAATATCAGATATTCCTCAAATAATTAGTCCAGCCAATCACTTTACAGTGAAGCCCATAATTAACAAGTCCCATTCATGAGTTCAGAGTTTCCAATCAGCCTTTCCATCTCTTTTGCACAGGAGCAGACAACGAGGAGCTTGGGACATCTGAGAATGGCACCTAGCATGGAAAATAAGACCAAAACAAAACAGGTATTTGGAGGAAGAAAACAATGCAAGGAGAAGAAAGCTTTGCCAAAATGATATCAGTATTCTCAGAGTTATGAGAATATAATAATAACATACAAAACAACAGGTTACTGTTTAAAAGAAATACTCAAAATTTTTTAAAAGAAAGTTCTTGGAATTAAAATGACAATATCTGAGATTAAATGTCAATAGAAGAGCTGAAAGCTAAAATTTATTAAATATCTCAGAAAAGAGAGCAAATAAACCCATAGGTTAAAAACAAAACAGAATGCCAATCTGGGATGTCTAATAACCAAGAAATAGGAGTTCTAAACAGAGAGATGTCATAAATGGTGGGAAAAAAATCAACAAAATAGATGCAAAGTTCCCAAAGCTAAAGGACGCGACTCTTCATATTAGAAAGACTCACCAAGTATCTGTCTCATTTCATACACTTTTAGAAAACTGAGCACAAAGAGAAGTTCCTACAAGCTTTTAGAGAGGAAAAGGAGAGGAAAAATACTAAATTCAAAATATAATATTAGGAATTTTATTTTAGACTTTTCCATAGTAATTTTGGAAGCTAGAAGGCAACAGAGCAATGTCTTCAATATACAGAAGGAAAATTATCTCTACCTTGGAATTCTCTATCTGGATACTCAAGTACAAGGACAAAATAAAGGCTTTTCAGGCAAGCAAAGTCTCCAAATAAAGTTAATTTTTTATGTTCTCTTTTTCTGGAGGATACTGGAAAATGTGTCCCTCCAAAGCGGGAGAGTAGGCATGATAAAGGAAGACATGAGTCCAGGCAACATGAGGTGAAAGGTGAGAGACAGGCGGAGGAGGCCACCAGGAGGACTGTAAAGGCAGACCCAGGATGGAGGGAGGTACATCAGGCCTGAGCATAAGTCCAGACTGGAGCAGGATATGAAGCCCCAGGAGAAATTTTCTCAGGCAAATAAAATTTGAGGATACTTGATGATGGAATTGAGAACAAAAAGCAAACAAAACAAGGTAATTGTTAAATCAATGGAAACAAAAATGTGTACAGGAAAGAAAAATTAATTGCAGTTTAATACATGGTTTCACCATGAATAGCATTTGCATTGGCATAATATTTTAAACACTAAATATTGATTTTACCATTACAATAAAACTATATTGAAAAGTGGGAGACAGAAGGTGTTTGCCAGGGGAATGAGGGTGAGGAAGAACTAAAGGTTCATATTCCATAGCGGAAAGCACACACACACACACACACATGCACATACACGTGCACATGCACACACACATACACACACACACACACACACACACACACACACCAGGTAAAAGAGTTGAAAGTAGTTGCCTTGGGAAACAGGAATTGGAAGAGGATGGAAACGAAAGCCTCTATTTTTAAAAAAACAAACAAAGAAATGTCCCTTTAAGCAGAAATACCTGGCTCTTTGGTCTAGATGCATATATCACTTTGACAAAATCTTAAGAAAAAATGAGAAAAGTCAAGAAGGAGAGGGGTACAAGTAAAAACAGTCAAATTGGCCCTCTTTGGTTTTCGTAAATCATGGTGCCTCCTAGAAGCAAAGATTCATTTTCCTCTCACAGTTAGGTACTTGACTGCTGTCCTCCGTAAACAGGAATTAAAGTGATCTAATATTACTCATAATTTTATTAAAATCTTCCAAGTATGTGTTCTTCATAATTACTTAGAGGAAGAAAGGGCAGAAGACAATATGAGTCATGTTTCTAAAATGGCTTAATCATCTTGCAAAAAAAATCCTAATCCAAGATTTCCATTTCTCAAATAATAATTTTTCTCCTGATTTTTTTTCTGTCCACCCCGTTCCATCTTATTTCCCCCTCCCATCCTCAGACAGCCCCCACCTGCCACTCAGCAGCCCAGTCCTTCCTTACTTAAGGCACCGGGGGTGAGGGGAGTATTGGTGGTGTTAGATTGTGAAACACTTCTTAGGACAAGGCCAGAATGCGGCAACCGACGTACTCACTCTTAGTGGTAGGACAGAACTGGGCATGGGAGGGTAAAATAAAGGGGTAAATGAAGAGGCATCTGCTATCCTACCGAAATAATGGGAAAACTCACCCGTTTCCTCTTAAACTCAATGGAGAAGGAGTTTTCAAAAGCATTCCCAATCTTTCAGCTCCTGACAACGCCCACAGAAATCCCTATCATTTTACTTGCCTGCACATGCAGAAATGAAGAATGTAGAAGAACTTCAGTATGGCTAAAGTGGTGGCATTTCCAGCTGGGTAAAACTAGGAAGGGATTTCAGAGTGGTTGCAGGAGGACTAGGGAGTGAATGTGGAACCAATAGGAAATGAGCACCAGGCTCCCAGGTAAGTTGGTTGATAGATTTGTTCATTTTTTTCCTCCATCAGATAATGGGAACAAAAGTAAGAAAAAAATGTATTTTAAAAAATCACAAGGCCAAGCACGGTGACTCAAGCCTGTAATCCCAGAAGTTTGGGAGGTGAGGCGGGTGGATCACCTGAGGTCAGGAGTTCGAGACCACCCTGGCCAACATGGTGAAACCCCGTCTCTACTAAAAATACAAAAAAAATTAGCCGGGTGTGGTGGCAGGCGCCTGTAATCCCAGCTACTTGGGAGGCTAAGGCAGGAGAATTGCTGGAACTCAGGAGGTGGAGGTTGCAGTGAGCAGAGATTGCACCATTGCACTCCAGCCTGAACAACAGAGCAAGGCTCTGTCTCCAAAAAAAAGGAAAAGAAAAGAAAAGAAAGAGGGAGGGAGGGAGGGAGGGAGGGAGGGAAGGAAGGAAGGAAGGAAGGAAGGAAGGAAGGAAGGAAGGAAGGAAGGAAGGAAGGAAAAAAAAAAAAAAAAAAAAAACCACAAGATATTAAGTAGTTCCAGAAGAGAGATACAACCTCAAATTAAACCAACATTAATTAAAAATCTAATATGAAGCTGACATTGTGCTAAACACATTCACATCCATCATTTTTTCCTGTAATCCTGTTTAAGGATGTCGTAAGCACTCCAGGTTTTGCTCTTTTTTATGAGATGCACTGTCTATGCCTCTGTTTTTCTCAGAAAAATGTAGTGAAGCTGCTGCCATTCTACATTTGCCCCGGATGGAACTCCGTGATACCACCTCGCTTCACGATATTTCACATTGCCTGATGGAACCCAAAGAAACCAGCTTTATTTCTGTGCCATTTCTCAGTGATTAAACTTCAAACTTCAAAACCAAGATTGCTGTTTTGAATAACTAACAAGTGTTTTCTCACCTTCCCTGTTTCTCCTTTTTCCCATAATATTTCATATTTATATCACCAGGTGACAATGAGTAAATACGCCCATGCAGGCAAATATTAAAAAGAATCAGAGGCCGGGCGCGGTGGCTCACGCCTGTAATCCCAGCACTTTGGGAGGCCGAGGCGGGCGGATCACGATGTCAGGAGATTGAAACCATCCTGGCTACCACGGTGAAACCTTGTCTCTACTGAAAATACAAAAAATTAGCCGGGTGCGGTGGCGGGCGCCTGTAGTCCCAGCTACTTGGGAGGCTGAGGCAGGAGAATGGCGCAAACCCAGGAGGCAGAGTTTGCAGTGAGCTGAGATGGCGCCACTGCACTCCACCCTGGGCGACAGAGTGAGATTCCGTCTCAAAAAAAATAAAAATAAAAAATAAAATAAAATAAATAAGTAAAAAGAATCAGAAAATAGGGTGACATTCCAAGGAAAGTTATAAAAATAAAATATTTATCATGACATTCTACCATTTTAAATTAATTTAGCATTGGTCTGTTACAAAGTGCATATAATTTAGATTCAGAAGAATTGGGCTTCAGTTATACTTTTGTCACTTTCTCAATATGTAACCTAGGATAAATCGCTCCCTCTTTTTCAAATTTGATGTGTACAAATGTAATATGAAGTACTTGGCAACGTCAGGAACATTTGATAAGGCAAGGTATATAAAGATATGTGTGTAGCCAGGCACGGTGGCTCATGTCTGCAATCCCAGCCCTTTGGGAGGCCGAGGCGGGTGGATCACCTGAGGTCAGGAGTTCAAGACCTGGCCAACGTGGTGAAACCCTATCTCTACTAAAAATACAAAAAGTAGCCAGGAACCGGGCGCGGTGGCTCATGCCTGTAATCCCAGCACTTTGGGAGGCTGAGGCGGGCGGATCACGAGGTCAGGAGATCGAGACCACGGTGAAACCCCGTCTCTAATAAAAATACAAAAAATTAGCCGGGCGCGGTGGCGGGCGCTTGTAGTCCCAGCTACTCGGGAGGCTGAGGTAGGAGAATGGCGTGAACCCGGCAGGCGGAGCTTGCAGTGAGCCAAGGTCGCGCCACTGCACTCCAGCCTGGGCGAGAGAGCGAGACTTCGTCTCAAAAAAAAAAGAAAAAGGTAGCCAGGCGTGGTGGCATGTGCTTGTAATCCCAGCTACTCGGGAGGCTGAGGCTGGAGAATCACTTGAACCCAGGAGGCGAAGGTTCCAGCGAGCCGAGATTGCGCCACTGCACTCCAGCCTGGATAACAGAGTGAGAATCCGCCTCAAAAAATAAATAAATAAATAAATAAATAAATAAATAAATAAATAAATAAATAATAAAAATAATAAAAAAAAAAAAGAGGGCCCGGGCGCGGTGGCTCACGCCTGTAATCCCAGCACTTTGGGAGGCCAAGGCTGGGGGATAACTTGAAGTCAGGAGGAGTTCGAGGCCAGCCTGGCCAACGTGGCAAAACGCTGACCTTACTAAAAATAAAAAAATAAAAATAAAAAATTAGCCAGGCATGGCGGTGTATGCCTCGAGTCCCAACTACTCGGGAGACTGAGAAGAATCGCTTGAACCCTTTAAGAAGAGGTTGCATGAGCTGAGATCGCGCCACTGCACTCCAGCCTAAGTGACAGAGCAAGATTCCATCTCAAATAAAAATAAAAATAATAAATAAAGAAGGAGGTATTTTTATTTCTTACTAACAAACATATCTCAAATCTCATAACAGCATCGTCTTAATATTTTGAATCCTGCAATGGGCATCAAAGACCTTAAACTAGATATCTTCAAAGTTCCTGCCAGCCTAAGATTCCAGGATTCTGACTTTCTCTCTCTTTCTCAGTACTTACCTCTTTCCTTTTCATCAGTCTCTCTGGGACGAAGTCCAACTTTACCATCTCTTCAAGAAATGCCTTCAAGCTACTGACAATTTTAAATTAAGATACCTTGCTAATCAATGAATCTAATAATAATAGCTTCTGCTTATTTTGTTCTTATTCTGAATCTGATCTTTGTCTAAGTGGTGGCATCCCCACCAAAGGGCTGTCTTACCAGAGATTAAACCTCACAATGTGTTTAGTTTACAAACAAGTCAGACTAGCTGAGGAGGGCCTTCTTGGAAGAGTAGGGTGAGCTCTTTGAAATCATGAGTGAAACACTGTTCTGAGAAGGCCCAGTAAGGGTTACCTCCCCTAAGGAAGGCTGGATTCCCATAGATAAAAGAAAGGTCATAGCTCTGGGTTTTCTGAGTGAACTGGAATTTGCTCCAACCCAGGTCTGGAGGTCACATAGAGAAGAGAAACAGAAAATGAAACAGCCATCCTCTGGAGAAGTCACACTTCATGCCCCCACCTAGTGAGAGCACCTAAGTTGAAACAATATTCTTCCCTGAGGAATTGTTGCAACATGCGCACAAAAAGGCTTAGAGAAAAGTGCTCCTTGTGAAAACATCTAGAGGGGGGAGAAAGCATAAGCATTATCATTAAATCATTGGTTCTTAATGTGAATAGTGCCCCCCTCTAAAAGGTACTTAGGAAATTTATGTGAGTGTTTTTGGTGGTCACCGTCTTCGGGATTACTATTGACATTTATTGGTTTCAGCCAGGATGGACCCCAAAAAATGAAGAATTTTCCCCCATCCAGCAAGGACTTTGGGTGTCCTGCCAGGCATTCATGTGGGCGAAAAACATCTGAGCCAAGAATTTAACTACACTATATATAAAGTAATTTTTGCACACTTTTAATATACAGTGACTTTTCTAAAAATGAAACCATCAAATAAATTGAAAGACTCTGGAATTTTGTTTAATTTGAATCTTTACCATGAGTTATTTATCATCTCAGAAAAATCATGAAGTTGATGGCAACATCACACACATTATTTAAATCAGTAACAAAACACACCTAAATCTGTCTGGATTTGGATCTGTCACATTCCCTTGTGTCTCCATATAGGGGCAAGCACCTGTCTATGTCATTATGTTATCTACTACAGTGTACCACATACCTATCAAATGTGAATGATTTATATATCAAAATGCAAATTATTTTTATTATAAATTGCTTTCCTTTATATTCTTATATTCAATTAGGACATCATATTGATTTTTAATCATTTTAGGTAAATTAATATAGTTTATGAATTTCAGTTCACCATATTATGGGGGTCATTCCCCCAATATTTTTGTAAAAGGAGGCATTGGTCCAGACACAGTATCTTTTTTTTTTTTTGAGATGGAGTCTTGCTTTGTCACCCAGGCTAGAGTGCAGTGGCACCGTCTCGGCTCACTGCAACCTCTGCCTCCCAGGTTCAAGCAATTCTCAAGCCTCCACCTCCTGAGTAGCTGGGACTACAGGTGCCCACCACCATGCCCGGCTATTTTTTGTATTTTTAGTAGAGATCGGGTTTCGCCATGTTGGCCAGGCTGGTCTCGAACTCCTGACCTCAAACCATCCACCCACCTCCGCCTCCCAAAGTGCTAGGATTACAGGTGTGAGCCACCACACCCAGCCCAGACACATTATGTTTAATTACATAAAATATGATATATTATACTGTGGAATACCCCGCCACAGTTACAAGGATTAGCTAAATCTAGATATGGAGAAAGCTCCAAGACAGCTGAGTGAAGAAAGTTGTTTCAGAAAAATGTATATAGCGTGTACAGCTGATATCAACTATATAAAAATCTATACATATAAAAACATGCTACGTGTAATTATAGAGAGAGAGAGAGAAAGAAAAAGCATGGGGGAAAGTCTGAAAGTTTAAAAATAAACTGATACCCAGGGGACTGAATCAGGAATGGTAGTCAAGGTGCATTTCTGCTTTATATGTAATGCTGGAATGTGTACAAAGAGAACATATGCAGGTATTCATTACATAATTGAAAAAAATACTGGTAAAACAGAAATGTTGAAAAGAATTGCCAGGAAAAAAAGCTGTGCCCAAGTGACAGGTGACAGCATGCTGGCAGTCCTCAGAGCCCTCGCTTGCTTTCGGCGCCTCCTCTGCCTGGGTTCCCACTTTGGTGGCACTTGAGCCCTTCGGCCCGCCGCTGCACTGTGGGAGCCCCCTTCTGGGCTGGCCAAGGCCAGAGCCGGCTCCCTTAGCTTGCAGGGAGGTGTGGAGGGAGAGGCGCGAGTGGGAACCGGGGCTGTGCGCAGCGCTTGCGGGCCAGCTGGAGTTCCGGGTGGGCGTGGGCTTGGCGGGCCCCGCACTCGGAGCGGCCGGCCGGCCCTGCCGGCCCCAGGCAGTGAGGGGCTTAGCACCCGCGCCAGCGGCTGCAGAGCGTGTACGGGGTCCCCCAGCAGTGCCAGCCCACCGGCGCTGTGCTCGATTTCTCGCCGGGCCTTAGCTGCCTTCCCGCGGGGCAGGCCTCGGGACTGCAGCCCACCATGCCTGAGCCTTCCCCCGCCTCCGTGGGTTCCTGTGCAGCCCAAGCCTCCCCGACGAATGCCGCCCCCTGCTCCAGGGTGCCCAGTCCCATCGACCGCCCAAGGGCTGAGGAGTGCGAGCGCATGGCGCGGAACTGGCAGGCAGCTCCACCTACAGCCCTGGTGCGGGATCCACTGGGTGAAGCCAGCTGGGCTCCTGAGTCTGGTGGGGACGTGGAGAGTCTTTATGTCTAGCTCAGGGATTGTAAACACACCAATCAGCACCCTGTGTCTAGCTCAGGGTTTGTGAGTGCACCAATGGACACTCTGTATCTAGCTGCTCTGGTGGGGCCTTGGAGAACGTTTATGTCTAGCTTAGGGATTGCAAACACACCAATCAGCACCCTGTGTCTAGCTCAGGGTTTGTGAGTGCACCAATCAACACTCTGTATCTAGCTGCTCTGGTGGGGCCTTGGAGAACCTTTATGTCTAGCTCAGGGATTGTAAATACACCAATCAACACTCTGTATCTAGCTGCTCTGGTGGGGCCTTGGAGAACTTTGTGTCTAGCTCAAGGATTGTAAACACACCAATCAGCACTCTGTATCTAGCTCAAGGTTTGTAAACACACCAATCAGCACCCTGTGTTTAGCTCAAGGTTTGTGAATGCACCAATCGACACTCTGTATCTAGCCGCTTTGGTGGGGCCTTGGAAAACCTTTGTGTGGATACTCTGTATCTAACTAATCTGATGGGGACGTGGAGAACCTTTATATCTAGCTCAGGGATTGTAAACGCACCAATCAGCACCCTGTCAAAACAGACCACTTGGCTCTACCAATCAGCAGAATGTGGGTGGGGCCAGATAAGAGAATAAAAGCAGGCTGCCGGAGCCAGCAGTGGCAACCCGCTGGGGTCCCCTTTCACAATGTGGGAGCTTTGTTCTTTCGCTTCTTGCAATAAATCTTGCTGCTGCTCACTCTTTGGGTCCACACTGCTTTTATGAGCTGTAACACTCACCGCGAAAGTCTGCAGCTTCATTCCTGAAGCCAACGAGACCACGAGCCCACTGGGAAGAACGAACAACTCCAGACGTGCTGCCTTAAGAGCTATAACACGCACCGCGAACGTCTGCAGCTTCACTCCTGAAACCCGCGAGACCACGAACCCACCAGAAAGAAGAAACTCTCAACACATCCGAACATCAGAAGGAACAAACTCCAGACGCGCTACCTTAAGAGCTGTAACACTCACCGTGAGGGTCCGCAGCTTCATTCTTGAAGTCAGGGAGACCAAGAACCCAACAATTCTGGACACACAAGCTTTCGTGGTTGTCACCCAGTATTCCTGGGTGACGGAAACACTTCCACTGCAGAGTAGCTTTCTATAGAAACAGGCTCTTGGCATAGTGTCCACCAGGAGATGCTGGTCTCAGCATCTCCTGGTTACTGGAGGGAGCTCACGGAGTTTGGCATTCTTGAGCCTCTCTGAGCTGAGCCCAGCCCACAGCACCCTGATGCCCCACAACCCTGGGCAGCCATATCAGACCCCTGCATCCTTCTGCACACTGCACTTTGACTTAAAACCCAGCCTAGTCCACGTGGCGCCCTCCACTGAGTATGACCTTGGGGAAAGAGAGTAGTCCAGTGCTGAGGTTAGCCAGGCCAGTGAGCAGCATGCATTGTCATCATTAGCCGTAAAGGAGGCATGAAGCTTCACCCAGCTTTTGGGTTTTAAGGCAATTACTTTGCAGCCGTCAAACTGGGCTCCCACCCTCTTCCAGACCTAGACTCTAATAAGCATTAGGAGACCCAGAGACATAACAGGATGGGGGTGGGAGTACCAGATGAGGGTTAGAGTGAACTCCTGGGTCTCCTGTCATCACTGTAAGGTGGAGGGCTTGATGCACTCTGAGGAAGAAGGAGGCACCTCATCCTATGTGACTACATCATAGCCATCTCGGGTATGGTCAGCAAAAAACACCCCCTTACAGAAGCTCATGGGGCTCATTGTCAATATCAAGTATAACAGAAAAATTAGAACTCACCTTTTGGTAAGGCAGCTACAGCAACAGACCAGCACATTTCTCAAGCCCAGTTTGGAGGAAGAGGTTTTATACATAAAAGATGAATTTGTACAGTCATTTCCCCAGGTCCCCCCAGCCTGGGGGACAAATGACACATTGCAATGGCACTAGGCCCTGTGCGCCCTGCCAGCTTGGTCTGTGGGTCTCCAGACCTAGCCCTCTCATGGGCATCCAGCCCCTGCACAGCTGTCCCGGACTCTGCTCCCACAGCAGCTCTGCTGCCTGCTGTTGCTGTCCATCTCCACCGCTGCTCAGCCTGCCCATGACCTGCCACCAGCCTCCTGCAGCTCCCAGCCATAGAGGAGAGGTCTTACCTCTAAGAACTGTGCTCTTTCCATCAGCTTTAGGTAGTCAAGTCTTTAAGGGATCACACAGATCTTTTTTTCCCCATAGATGACACACTTTCAATGGGTATCTCAGAAAGCAGACACCCTGAGAAAACTTCCTGGATGGCAAGACCTGTGTCCCATTTTTAGTTCACACATCTGCATTCTCTCCAACTCTGGATGCAAGTTCCCTGCCTTCCAGGCATCCAATGAGGCAACATTCTTTAATGCTTCTTTACTTTGTGCACCATCTAAACCCCAGAGTCTTCAGAACCTAGCCATTGCTACCAAAGCCTTTGCATAAATAAGATTCCTTGTGTCTACACAGAGTGATGAGAGTTAAATGCAGCAACTGAATGTGAGTTCTGGTGTCAGAACTTCTGGGTTTGAAGGTCACCTTGACTATTCCTAGCTGAATAACCTTGATTTCAGTTTATTTATCAGCAAAATGAGCAAACCACATGAGTTCTTATAAGACTGAATGGCAATGTATGTGAAGGGCTTGACACGGTGCTGGTTCATATAAGAACTGCAAAACAGCTATCAATGTTCTGTCCCAGAGGCGCCTAGAGAGGCATGCAGATAAAGGCCCTGTTCTAACTTTTCCACACAGCAATGTGCATCTTAAAGGCTGTATTATGCCTTATATATGGCTTCATTTTAGTATTGCCTTCTTATCTCTGAACTCTTCTTCAGAGTAAGAATTCTAAAATTATATTGGATCTGGCCAGGCTCAGTGGCTCATGCCTGTAATCCCACCACTTTGGGAGGCCAAAGCGGGTGGATCACCTGAGGTCGGGAGTTCGAGACCAGCCTGACCAACATGGAGAAACCCTGTCTCTACTAAAAATATAAAATTAGCCAGGTGTGGTGGTGCATGCCTGTAATCCCAGCTACTCAGGAGGCTGAGGCAGGAGAATCACTTGAACCCAGGAGGCAGAAGTTGTGGTGAGCCAAGATTGTGCCATTGCACTCCAGCCTGGGCAACAAGAGTGAAACTCCATCTCAAAAAAAAAAGAAAGAAAAAAAAATTATATTGGATCAATTGTGACTTTGTTTCTGAGAACTTCAAGTAAATAGCTGATATGGTTTGGCTGTGTCCCCACCCAAATCTCATCTTGAATTTCCACGTGTTGTGGGAGACACCCAGTGGGAGGTAATTGAATCATGGGGGCAGGTCTTTCCCATAGTGTTCTCATGATAGCAAATAAGTCTCACAAGATCTGATGGTATTATAAGGGGGAGTTTCCCTGCACAAGCTCTCTGTGCCTGCTGCCATCCATGTAAGATGTGACCTGCTCCTTCTTGCCTTTCACCTTCTGCCATGATTGTGAGGCCTCCCCAGCCACGTGGAATTGTAAGTCCAATAAACCTCTTTCTTTTGTAAATTACCCAGTCTTGGGTATGTCTTTATCAGCAGCGTGAAAAGAGACTAATACAATAGCATTCACAAAATTTTAGATCTTAATGCTAAAGGGCACTTGGGAGATTATGTAGTCCTGCCCTTGACTTTAGATAAGATCTTATTATCCCCACTCAAAGCCAAACGAAATCAACAGAATTGCCTAAGATTGCATGGCTAGTAAAAGCTGAGGGATCAAAGCCAAAAGGCTTTGATTTACCCAAGAAAATCGGGACATTTTGTCATTTCCATTGCATGTGAGTGTCCATGGTTCTTGGTGACAGACTCTTAACTCCTTAAGTGCCATGAGAGTTTCTTAAAGTAGTTATGTTTGTCCATTGCTGTCCTCACCAGCCACTTACAATTAGGTGCTTCATAAAGACTTGGTGATAAAGGTAACATTACGATAATAAGGGGCTATCTTTCTATTATCCTATTGTTTGTTTTATTTATGTATTTTAGTTCTGAAAGTTGCAAAAAGGCAGTGAGGGATGCATTTCAAGCTGAAAGAAGAGTGATGAAGAAAAACAGAACAAATCCTCATGAGGAAATAAAAGACCAGTAAATAACTGAGTAAAGAACTGAGTGAACTTCAGAGCACCTTCTGAACAAATACAACCTTTTGGCAGAAGGCCAGACCTTCAGGGAGGACGGCGGAAGGTGTCGGTGCTGCTGGAGAGAACTGGAGAGCAAAGGCACCATCAGAAAGTGACTTTTATTTTTAATCCCGCTAGACTATTAGGAGATACAAAGTGAAATTCATGTCACAGAGCAGAAACATAGAGCAAAATAGGAGGATTTAGAAGAGCAGACAGCAGGAAGAGAACATATCAAACAGAGGAAAGGAAAGAAAAATATCAGGACTTAACTAAAATTTTCATTCATTTTGTTCTACCAGGTGACAAGCAGCAGAGGAAAACAAAAAGACTGCCTTAGTCATGGGTAACTGTCCTTAGTCTTTGGTATCCCATCCTTCCAAGAAAATCAAGACTCTAAATCCAAAAGCACCACATGATGATATCGTTTTTACAGAAGGCATTGCTGGGGGACAGAGATGGAGGATGCATTCCATCCCACAGCCCACTGCAAATCTTCATAAATGCCCCTTCCGTATCTTGGCCGTTTTTAACCAATGCTGTCCTCCCGAGCATCTGAATGACTCTGCCTGCTTCCTGACCTTTTCTCAACAATCCTCATCCAGGCTTTTCTGGTTCCCTGCCTGTCAGTCTCCATTGCCAACCCCATCACTCAAAGTCTCCCATCGGCCAAACAAAATCCTAATTCGTCACCATTGTCTCTAAAGCATTTTCCCAGAGGTCAGAAATTTATTTCCAGCACCCCTACTTTCACACTGAGGTAAGGTTTTTTTGAACCAAAAATATAACTACCAATCTGAATATGGTTATTGGTTAATTTCCCTCACCTCTATATCTAAGCAGCCAACATACCCTGTCATACTACAAGTGAAATGTCACTCATCGCCTCCCTCTATCCACTCATTGCCCAAGTTTGAGCTCTTACTGTTTCTTCCCTGGATCATTATCTCTCTGATTCCAGTCGCTGCCTCTTCCAGCTCTTCCCCCATTCAGCCACCAGAGCCCAAAATGCTCCTCTGAGCACGTGTCTCCCATATTCAAAATTTTACTGGTTCCAGGTTAGATAGGGAAGAAAGTTCAAAAAAAAAAAAAAAGAAAGAAAGAAAGTTCAGTGTAGTTGGTCACCGAGGCTGACTCCAGCCTTAGCCCATCTCCCAGTTCCCCCTCTTTAGCCCAACTCAGCCAGTCACACCACCCTGCACGCCATTCCTTGGACAAAAGCCATTTTCCCATTTCGTACAGGCATCGAGCTGCTGATGCTTGTGTGGGCCTGAAACATTTGTCACACAGCTGACTCTCCCCAGCCCCTGCACAGTCCTGGAAACCCCGCTTCAAGCCCTCTCATCTCTTATTTAGACCAAGACAACAGCCTCCTAACCTACCCATGCTTCTGCCCTCAGCCCTCCCCTGCCTTGCCCCATCTGTGTTCTGCACGCTGGGCAGGTTGATCTCTTCAAAGGTAAGTCAGAGAATATGCATCTCCTTTCACTGGACTCCCTCTAATGGCTTCCATCTCACTCAAAGTCAAAGCAAAAATCTGTGAAATAGCCTGGGAGGCCTTAGGTGTGCTGCTCCCCATCCAACCCCTATGACCATCTCCCTCCTAAAGCTCTGGCCTCCCTGTCCTTCCATGAACCCCATGCATGCCTGCCCTGGACTTTAGGGCTGTTTCCTTGGTCTGGATTGCTCTTCCCTCTGATGACTTTTGTAGCGCATTCTTTTCCTCCTTCAATTCTTTGCTCAAAAGTTACCATATCTGTATAATAGAGCCCTCCTTATGTGATTCCTATTCCCCTAACCCTGTTTTAATTTTTCTCCCAGTGTGTCTCACCATCTGAAGAATGCATTTTGTTATTTTTTTATGTACTGTCTGGCTCCTCCCCCTAGAATGTACACTCAGGGAGGGTGGGGTTTGGGTTTTTTTTTTTTTTTTCTATTTTGTTGTTTGCTGGTATATCCCCAGCACTTAGAACAGTGCCTGACTCATAATAAGATCTCAATAAATTTTTGTTGAATGAATGAATAAAAACTGCCTATTGAAGTCATTCTACTAGGCTCAACACAAAGGCCACCTTTTCCCATACAGTTCCTGTCAAAATTAGCCTCCTGTATTCCCTTGGCCACTTGCTTCTGCCTCCACCTTAGGGCTTACCTCTTTCACATGGTGCATCCCCCTCCCACAGAGGTGCTCCTGGAAGGTAAATGAGTCCATTTGCATGTGAAGAAGCTCAGTCTCAGAGAGGTTAAGAGAAATGTCCAAGGCCTTACACATAGGAGGCAGAGAGCTAGGAGTCTACAGAATCCAAAGGCCACTAAATACCCATTCCATTAACTCCTAGTGCTTCTCAAAAACAAACAAGAACTTTCTAAGCAAACACTCAGTACGGTGGGTATCAGGTTTTAATTTTGGTCTAATATTTAGTACTTCCCCAGAACTGTTGAAACAAAGAAGAAAGGAAGGAAGAAAGGAAGAGAGGGAGGGAGGGGAAAAGCTTCAGTCACTTCTTAATTGAGGCTCTGTTCAGACAACACAGCAGCTTCAGTGTAAGAAGACTTAATCAGAGCCAGGTGCGGTGGCTCACACCTGTAATCCCAGCACTTTGGGAGGCCGAGGCGGGCGGATCACCTGAGGTCGGCAGTTCATAGACCAGCCTGACCAGACCAGCCTGACCAACATAGAGAAACCCTGTCTCTACTAAAAATACAAAAAGGTAGCCAGGCATGGTGGCACATGCCTGTAATCCCAGCTACTTGGGAGGCTGAGGCAGGAGAATTGCTTGAACCTGGGAGGCGGAGGTTTCGGTGAGCCGAGACGGTGCCATTGCACTTCAGCCTGGGCAACAAGAGTGAAACTCCGTCTCAAAAAAAAAAAAAAAAAAGGATTGCTTAAAGCCAGGAGTTCAAGACCAGTCTGCCAACATAGTGAGAGCTCATCTCTTCAGAAAAAAAAAAGTTAGAGTGTAAGCATCTCTCTCTAGCTTACAACCTAACAGACACACTACAAACAGTGGGCACCATTTTTTTCCCAGCCAGCGCCTCCTAGGTGACTTGGTTTCTGGTTTTTTCATATGTATCCAAAGCAGAAAGCCCAAAAGTGAGGCAACATGGTGGCACACCCCACCCTCCCTTCCTCACCTGGTCAAAAGTCTATCATTACTGTGATGACTAGGTCAAGTTAAGAAAGCTACTTCCTAGCCTAAGGGCCTACCATCTTTATAATAGTAGGAATATATAAAAATCGCTGTCACTTTCATATCATGTTGATAAATATTCCCATGGTATTCTAAGATTTTATAAACAGAAATTATCTGTGGCTCTCACACCCAGAATTTGAAGATATAGGTGCAATTACCAAATTTTCCCACTAGGTGGCTCTCATAGTTTATGACCCATGGCCTGGATCGCCTAAACTCAGGGATAGATTTGGAAATGTGTACATTAATTTCTTAACAGAGGTGGTTGTTATCTATATGTTCAAATGTGTCTGTGTCTGGGTAAGTAGATTTATAATACTTTCAAACTAGAACTTGTTAGAAAAAGATATAAATTACCCTATTACGATCCCTTTATAAATAACTTCTTCAAAGCAAAATGTAAAAGAAATCCAATCTGTGCCCAATTAAGAGGTCCCATACTTATCAAATACTTCTTTTACAAGACAACAATATAATATTACCTCCTGACAACAGAACCAGTAACTTCAAATAGTAAGCATGGGTTATGCCGATCTTCTTCCCAACCCTCTGTAGAAGTTACAAGAACTCCTAGCCTAGCTAGAAATAAAACTGAATGTTTTTCAAATAAATTATGCTTGCTTAATGCAGAAGACAGAGCTGATAGTTTATTTCAGCCCTCTCTTCTCGCAGGCTAGCTAAATTAAAATGGACTTCAAGACATGGCTGATTTATCACTTTCTCTTTCCCTCCTGAGCTCCAACCAGTACACTTTTTGACAAGGACCAAGCTATCGCTGTGCTCCCGGGGGATTCCAGTATTTAACACTTGTCTCAACCTGTTCTTATTAAATTTCTGTCATGCCCCAGTTCACTGAGACACATTTGTTCTCTTCCTTTCCCTCCCTCACTTCTACCAGCCCAAGCATTAAGGCAGCGTATTAACTTCTCAGGTTAGCAACACTATCTTCTCAGGCAGTCAAGCAAACAAGTTCAGGTGGAAACACAATGATTTCTCATGAGACGCGCACAAATATCATCGTAAGATATTTGAGTCACAGCCACTTCACATGACTAACCCCTCCACATTTTCATTTCATGACTCAAGAAATCAAATGAAATATTAGAACAATTGGGAATGGTTTTATTTGTACTTTGGTATGAGATATGTGCGGAATGGGGGTAAGGAAGGTATTGAGATAAAGGCTTGTATCTGAATACACACTTGGATATAATGCACAACCCTGTGTGAATTCCCGTTTGACTCCCTTTTTCTCTCCCAACAGCTCCAGAAACGAGCCCATCTCACTCCCTGTGGCTGCTACCATCCACCCTTCAACTTCAGCTTCCCCTTCCACGTGTCCCATCACTAGAATGCAATGCAGGTTCACAGCTTGTCAACTACCTTCTTGTCTCTAAAACAAAGAGAATGATTTAGAGGATGTTAATACTGCAGAGATACATTTAAAAAAAATCAGCACAGGGAGAATTGCCATATGTCCTGAAAATGTTAGAGTGGTATTTATTTTATTTTCATATTGCATCATAATGTAAATGGGTCGAAAGTGATCTCTCTTAGCATCTTTTTTTTTTTTTTTTGAGATGGAGTTTTGCTCGTTGCCCAGGCTGGAGTGCAGTGGCACAATCTCAGCTCACTGCAACCTCCGCCTCCTGGGTTCAAGCAATTCTCCTGCCTCAGCCTCCTGAGTAGCTGGGATTATAGGCGCCCGCCACCACACCCGGCTCTCTTACCTTTTTCTTTAGTTTTCTCTTGCCTCTTCTTGAGATTGAAGCTTCATCCAAACATCCCTTTTAATCCAGAGGCTGGTGCTACTTTCAGCAGACTTTATCCTTAATTCCCTCAAACCCATCTTGCAAATAAACCTGTACAGGAGGACACAAAAATAAAAAACATGTATCCTTAAATTGCATGGTGCCACCAGAAGCTTTTGCTTGTACACTTTCTCATATTTGTACTTTTCTCATATACTATGACCAACAACATTATCATCATTTCCCCCATTTTGCAGATGAGGAAGCGGAGTCTCAAAACAGCTAGGTGATTTGCCCAAGATCACTTGGCTATGAAGTGACAATATTAAAATCTTCTAAAATATAACTTTGCTTTTGACACTTCAGAGAAAACTTCCAACCGCCTCTATCTCAAAACAGTTCTATTTCTAGCAAGAAGACAGATTCCTAAACAGTATCGGGTGTCTTCCTCTTAGCAAACTGACTGGAAGAAGGGAGGACATGCAGGGTTTAAGGGGGAGGGTGTATAATTGGGACCTGTGGCACTGCTTACAGACCGCCTCTGCATACTTTTAATCAATTAAAAAGTTGTTAGGAGGCTGGGTGTCATGGCTCACTCCTGTAATTTCAGCACTTTGGGAGGCCAAGACGGGCAGATTACTTGAGATCAGGAGTTTGAGACCAGCCTGGCCAACATGGTGAAACCCCGTCTCTACTAAAAATACAAAAATTAGCCGGGCATGGTGGCAGGTACCTGTAATCCCAGCTACTCAGGAGGCTGAAGCAGGAGAATCGCTTGAACCTGGGAGGCAGAGGTTGCAGTGAGCCGAGATCATTCCACTGCACTTCAGCCTGGGCAACAGAGTGAGACTCCATCTCAAAAAAGAAAAAAAAAGAATCATTTGGGTTAGCAAAAGTCTAGTTTAAAAAAGGAAGTACGGCCGGGCGCAGTGGCTCATGCCTGTAATCCCAGCACTTTGGGAGGCCGAGGCGGGCAGATCACGAGGTCAGGAGATGGAGACCATCCTGGCTAACACGGTGAAACCCCGTCTCTACTAAAAATACAAAAAATTAGCCGGGCGTGGTGGTGGGCGCCTGTAGTCCCAGCTATTCGGGAGGCTGAGGCAGGAGAATGACGTAACCCGGGAGGCGGAGCTTGCAGTGAGCCGAGATTGCGCCAGTGCACTCCAGCCTGGGCGACAGAGCGAGACTCCACCTGAAAAAAAAAAAAAAAAAAAAAAAAAAAAAAAAAAAAAGGAAGTACGTTTTGTTTGGAAAGATTAAACCTCTCAGAGACACAGATAAGCCGGATAAACCATGAAAGTCGCTCAATGTAGCAATTCAAAGGTAGAACCTAAACCTGTTTAACCACAGGTCAAGAAGTTTTTAAAAATAAGGTGTTCTTTATACAGTGGGATACCATACAGCAATGAGACTGAATCCACACACAACCAAGGAATACATCTTCCAAACGTAACGGTAAATGAAAGAACTCGGACACCAAAGAATGCATATCAGATGATTCCGTTTCATAAAGTTTAAAAACAGGCAAATCCACTCCGTGGTGTTTTAAGTCAGGATATTACTCTCAGGTGGGGGGCGGGGTAGTAAAACAAAAGTGAGGTGTTTGCTAACATCTCTGCTTCTTGAAACCCTGAATAGAGGTTAGGCCACAGGACTGGGAGTCAGACAGAACTAGGTTTAAATCCTGGTTCTGCAGTTGAGTGACTTTGAACTACTTTAATTCCCGGTGTCTCAGATTTTTCCACCTATAAAATGAGACTAATGATACCTTCCTCCGAGGGTTGGTGTGAGAAGTCAATGAAACGATGTATGTGAAGTGCGGCAGCCTGCGTAGGTGCTGTAATAAGTGGTAACTATTATTATCCCCGCCCCTGTTGCCTGGTGGTAAATGGGGATCAGAGAACAGATAGGTAAGAACACAGACAAGAAGGAAAGGGAAGGACCTAACTAGGCTTATGATTAAAGACGTGCAGAATCCACCAGAAGGCTGTACTGGTAAGTGCCATTTCCTCCCTCCCACAGCCCACACGGTCTCCTGGATTTTGCTGCCTGCAAGTTTGGGCTGGCCCACAACAGCCAACCAAAGTCGTTTGGGTCCCATCCATGAGGGCCCTTGCTAGGGGACTTGATACTGTTACAGGAAAGGGGTCTGGATCAAGATCCCAAGAGAGGGTTCTTGGATCTCATGCAAGAAAGAATTCAGGGTGAGTCCATAGAGTAAAGTAAAAGCCAGTTGATTAGGAAAATAAAGGAATAAAGAATGGCTGCTCCATAAACAGAGCAGCCCTCAGGGTTGCTGGTTGCCCATTTTTATGGTTATTTATTGATTATATGCCAAACAAGGGGTAGATTATTCACGTCTCTCCTTTTTAGACCATATAGGGTAACTTCCTCACGTTGCCATGGCATTTGTAAATTGTCATCGGTGCTGGGGGGAGTGTAGCAGTGAAGACGACCCCAGGACCCTCTAGTGGCCATCTTGGTTTTGGTGGGTTTTGGCCAGCTTCTTTACCGCAAACTGTTTTATCAGCAAGGTTTTTATGACCTGTAACTTGTGCCTACCTCTTATCTCATCCTGTGACTTAGAATGCCTTAACTGTCTGGGAATGCAGCCCAGTAGATCTCAGCCTCATTTCACCCAGCCCCTACTCAAGATGGAGTTGCTCTGGTTCACATGCCTCTGACAATACTAGTCCAAAAAATTAGTTTGTACTAATTCTCTCATAGTAGTTGCTAGCAACATCCTGGGTTACCCTGCTGGTGATGTTGGTTGCATTTTGACCAGAGCCTATGGATATACAAGACCATGACCTAGGCTGGGTGTAATTTCACCTTATCCTCAGTCAGAAAGGAGCTGGGTAGGGAGTAGAAGGGGAATAATATGAACAGGGTAGTGTTAACGTCAAGTTTGTAAGAACAAGCCACAGCCTGGGCTGCAGGGACTCTGCAGGCTTTCCTTTCTGACTGCAGAATGAGAACAGGGCCAGACGCCAGAAGGGGAAAGAGGTGTCCCTCTGGGAGGCCCTGTCTGCTACGAGGCCTGTGGTTCCTAGGGGACCAAAAAAAAGGAGGAGTTTTGGGGTTTGATTTTGTAATTTTAAATGATGTCTTAGGGCATCTCTATAGGGAATACTGCCCAGCATCGAAAAAGAGAAACTGTTGATGGAGGCAACAAGAAAGATGGATCTTAGAAGGATGAGTCTTAGAAGGATGGATCTTGGGAGCATCATACTAAAGAGAAAGACCCAGAGTCCAGAGACGGCATAAAATTCTGGAAAGGATAAAACTCACCCAAATGGACAGAAACCCTAAGGCTGGAGGTGGGATTGATTCACAGGAGCACCAGTGAATGTTTTTAGATGCTGAAACTGCTCTGCATCTTGACTGAGGTGGTGGTGCATATACATTTGTGAGAGCCCATTGAACCGTACACTTGGAATGGCTGCAACTTATTTTATGCAAGTTGTCCCTCAGTAAAGTTGATTTTGGAATGGAAAAATAATGATGTCTTAGTAATTGAGGTTGTTCTGCTCTGGGAGCAAGCTGGGAGGCCTGCAGGAGAACTCCAGCAATTCCTAGCCTCCACCATTCTCCTAGCCAATTAACATTTGCTCAGTACCTTACAGTTCATAAAGCACTTTCTCCTCTTTTGATCATTACACTGACTCTGTGGGGTGGACGTGATTAATCTCATTTTATAGCTAAGGAAACTGAGGCACATTATGGCTAAGGGAACTGGCCAAAGTCTCCTGACTCAAAATCCTGCTAGCTTTTTATTTTCTGAGACCATCCCTGAATATAGCCTCAGAAATCATCTAGGTCTAGGGAAACTGAAACCATGGTCCAGAGAACATAAATAATTTGACAAAAGTTGTACTGCTAGTTAAGAACAGAGACTAAACTTGAAGATGTGCCTCCTCTCATGACAAACTAACCAGAAAATGTCAAATCAAGATAATCCTGAAAGGAGACAGAAAGTGGACATTCATTCCCCATATGCAGAGACTTTCAGACCAGGATAAAGAGCCTATCCTAAAACAAAAAGCAAGACTTTTTTTTCCAGGGTTCTAGACTCCATGTCTCACTGCATGGAGCAGTCTCCCCCACTCCACACACCCACCCCCCACCCCCCACCCTCTGGAGTCCCAAGGGTCTTGTAACTTTAACAAACTGCAGCAGCAAGCACATGCATTACCTCACCACAGTCTGGCTTATGTCCTAGCAGCAATTGTCCAACGCTTGCTCCATTTCCCCCCTTCTGTTGGCTTTGTACCCTTCGCCCATTCCTCCCTGCTGAAATCACAAAGCTCTGACCCCCGCCAGCCAGCGTGAGCCTCCTCCTCCTTCCTGGAGTCTTTAACATTAGAAAAGAGGCCTCTGGTGCAGAGCAATGTGTGTCAGATGGCCCCTCTGTATACACATTTTAAAAGCATGTAAGTGTGGGAGTAGAGGGAGAGAGGGAGGGAAAAATACACGATGGTGTGTACACAGCGAGGAAGCAATCCTGGGAGGACTTACAAGAAACAGTTGATGGTGGTTAACTTGGGGAACAGAAATTAGAGTGTTGGAGGGCAGAGGGTTCTACTTCCCATTTTGTTTCTGTATGTTCAACATGAATTTCCTAACCAATGTACATGAATTACATTTATTTATGCAAATAAGGATAGTCTGAGCCAAGAACTGATGGGCCGTGTTTGTCATATACGTATCTGCATAAGAAAGCAAAAAAAAAAAACAAAAAACCTGAGAAGCATTACATTTTGAAAATGAGAAAAAGCACCTATAATCCACCACCTCCCTTCATTCACAGTACCGAAATGTGCAACAATGTAAATGATAGAAAAATTATGAACAATTTACCCAGATGGGATGGAGCGAAAGAAGGAGGGGCCAGGAGTGGACCCCCAGCCTCTTTAGTAAATGCATCACTCCCCTTTGAGCTACTGTGATCCCTGTGTGTACCTTGCCTGGGGTCCACTCCTGCCCGCCATTTCAATCATTTGTGCAATTATTTATGTCTCAACCCCCAGCATCCCCAAATTAATAGCTTATATAGGGCAAGACATTGTCCTTCTGTTCTTAGGTGCTTCTAGAGCTTCCTGCATGCATAGCAGAAACTGAACAAACATTTACTAAATAGAATATAAGAAAGTCTCGGCAGAGCGCAGTAACTCAGGCCTGTAATTCCAGGACTTTGGGAGGCAGAGGCAGGGAGATCACTTGAGATCAGGAGGGATCACCTAAGGTCAGGAGTTCGACACCAGGCTGGCCAACATGGTGAAACCCCGTCTCTACTAAAAATAGAAAAATTAGCTGGGTGTGGTGGTGCACGCTTGACGCTTGTGATCCCAGTTACTCGGGAGGCTGAGGCAGGAGGATCGTTTGAACCAGGGAGGCGGAGGTTGCAGTGAGCCAAGATTGCACCACTGCACTGCAGCCTGGGCCACAGAGCGAGACTCCATCTCAAAAAAGAAAAAGAATATAAGGAAGTCCGCAAGAAAGTGAGAGGGCACGTGGTTTGACACCACTAAGATGGGTTAAAATATCCTTCCCTGCCACCTGTGGCTGGAACCTTAACCAGATATTCATGTCTGCTGTGTAAGTGCATGTCAAGGTTCAAACTCCTTTTCTTGTTTACCCAGCCCTGGCCCACACCTGCCTTTCTGCCCTGATTCCCAAGACAAATCCTGCGCCCCAGCAGTCAAACTGGTCCATTCACCACTCCCTGGGCGCACCTTGAGGCTCCCTGCCTTCAGGCCCTTGCTGGTGCCTTTCCCAATCTCTGCCACTGAAAACCCAGGTCACACCAGCTCTCCCTGAAGACTCAACTAATGTGCCCCGATGACTGGGCTTGCTTCCTCTTCTAATCTCCAGATGCTTCACTGCAGGTTGTACCCCACCTTGCATTGTGGTCATCTAAGCCTCCCCTGCTAGAGGGTGAAGATATGACTCTTACCCCTTGCCTTCCCCGGCCCTATTACCCAGCTCTGGGGCCTGCACAAAGACAGAAAGAGGAATATAGGAGTGTAATTCAAGTCAGAGGTAGAATTAGGTTAAAAGCTGGATCAAGATTGGGTTGAGTTTAGGATTAGAATTGGGAAAAGGTTCGTCAATTCTTAATCCCACCTACTAGGCGGCGCCCGCAGTCTCATTCGGGTCAAGACGCCTCCGGTTCTTGAATTTGATTACCAGTCTAGCAAGTTTCTTTCCTGCCCTACTGTCCCTTTAAGGAGGTGAACCAGGTGAGGCCGGGACTCCGCCCCCGGCGCTGGCCCCGCCCCCCGCCCCCGCCCGGCCCGCCCGGCTCTCCTAGTCCCTTGCAACCTGGCGCTGCCATCCGGGCCACTGTCCCAGGTCCCGGCCCGGAGCTATGGAGCGGCGCTGGCCCCTGGGGCTAGGGCTGGTGCTGCTGCTCTGCGCCCCGCTGCCCCCGGGGGCGCGCGCCAAGGAAGGTACCGACCCCCGCCCCCGCGCCCCCAACCCCCGCGCCCCGCCCCTTCCCGGGGCCCGGCCAGCACCCCCCTGCAGAAGCCGGCATTCCTAGGGGCCATGTTCCCCGAGACCCTCGCCAGCTCTCTCGCTGTGCCCGACCGCCAGGCTATCGACTGGCCAGGCCCATCTTTGGTCTTTAACCCCAAGCGGCTGCTCTCCCGGGTCAGTCACCCCCACTCCCGCAGGCCAGCAATCTGCTCCTGGGAGTGGGGAGGGAATTCCGGACCCTTGCCAGGAAGTAGCACCTGCACCCGCACCCCTGCCTGCATTCCCAGACAGTCCCAGCTTCAGGTGCCCACCCCAGAGATCTGAGCCCTTGGAAGTTGAAGGTGGGAAGTCGCCTCCTGCCAACCTAGGCCAGGGACAGAGGGAGCTGCCTCCGGGAGAAGGGTTAGGACTGACGCCACAGGGGTTCCCAGTTGTCCGAGTCGAATATTCCATGTGAAAGTTGGAACACCCTCTCCGGCCTTACTCCCCCCCACTTCCCAGGCAGGTAGCTGTGCCTCTTATCCCCACTTCACGGCTCTGATCACTGGCCAGGTCAGGCCAAAGCAGGCTTCGGACAGTGGAGGTGAGCCTCCCTACCCAGGAAACCCCTTCTGAGGTCCCCGGTCCACCCTGCCCACTCCTGGCTAGCAGAGGTGAGCTCCTCCTGCCCTCCACGCGTTCCAATCCTGCAGCTGATGGGTGTCCCAGGACGCAGCAGCCTGGGTAACTGAGCGTCTCGTGGGGCTGCTCTTCTTGCATTGACTTTGGTCAAAGACCCAGCGCCCCAACCCTTGTCCCACTCTACCTGCCTTCCTTCACACACACAAAGAAGAGTGAAATCCCTGGAGCTCTTCACTCCTCAGTCCTGAGCCCTTTTTCTCCCCTAAGCCTCAGGAAGTCACAGCTTTTAGGAACAGGATGTTGCAGCCTGGGGCTGAGGCCCCAGAATGATTAATGTGGGCTGCAGGGGCACCTCCTCCCCCAGAGGTGACAGACTTCTTTTCTCCCCACTTTCAGTTACTCTGATGGACACAAGCAAGGCACAGGGAGAGCTGGGCTGGCTGCTGGATCCCCCAAAAGATGGGGTAAGTGTCGGAAGAGGGAAGGATCTTGGAAAACTCCTGAAGGCCAGTGGGAAATGGGGTGGAGAGGTGGGTGGAGGAACAGAGAAAAGAGCAGGAAAAACTGGAAGTGTCTCCTCAGGGAGGGGGAGAGGAGGCTGAGTCAGAGCCTCCTCAATGGGACAAGGGGTGGGGGGGTCAGACTTCACCTCAAGATGAACGCTTGAATGGCCTGGCTCCTCCAGTGAATACTTGGGAATATTGTGAATACAAGCTGATACTTGTGAGGGGGAGAGGAGCTCACATACCCGGGGAGAGAATGCACCATGCTGGGGATGGTTGAAGGCTGAGACCAGTGCTTTGCTTGGGGAGGGATAGAAAAGGCAGAAAAGCATCCTCAATCTGAGATCCATTCATCCCAATGAAGTTGCATTGATAGGTTTCAGGGGGTGGGGAAACCCCATGAAAGTGTACTCTAAATTCTGTATATGTAAGCGGGCATTTTTTTTTCTGGAGAGACCAGCCAAAGCTTTCATCAAATTCTTCAAAGGGTCTTTGACTCCTCCGAAGTTAAAAGCTGCTCCCCTAAAGGTTTCTGAGCCCTTAGCTCATCCTCCACACCTCCTCAGGCTGACTGCGTGCACACCATGCATTCCAGCTGTTTGAAAGTGTCAGAGCTTGTTCCAGTTCCCTTCCTTCCTTGGATGTTCCTAAGACTCAGTGAACAGGTTGTGAGGTGGGTCTGAGAGAGCATATTCAGACTCAAATGCAGAGAGCAGCTCTTATGATGTACAAAAAACCAAACTCAGTTTTTTCCTACTGCACTCTCAACACAAATCACTTCGGTGACCTGTGGTCACCAAAATGCGTGTAGGGATTCCTCCCGCCTGCAGTCAGTTCTCTCTGGCAGATTCTTCAGTGGACAGTAGCTGAGTGTCCTCTAATCTTATTCAGTTCTTACACTATCTACCTGGAGATAGCCTCAGGTTGAGGGCTCAGCCCCACAAGACTGCCCTCCTCTAGACAACAATCACAAGTAACATGTTGTCACCTATACTTCTGTTCCATCGGCTGTAATCAGGTTTACCTGACCCTCCTCCTCGGGTTCAATTAGTTTGCTAGGATGGCTCACAGAACTCAGGGAAACATTGACTTGGATTTACTGGCTTACTATAACGGTTATTACAAATGGTACCATGAACACCAGATGGAATAGCTGCATGGGGCAAGGTATATGTGAAGGAGGCGAGCCACCCTGCAGGGACCTAATCATGTATGGCCATCCAGAAGCCCTCCCAACCCCATCCTTCTGGGCTTTTATGGAGACTTCATTACATAGGCGTGATTAATTAGATCATTGCCCACTGGTTATCAGCTCAACCTTCAACCTCTCTACCTTCCCTGGAAGTTGGGGGTGGGGCCGAAAGTCCCAACTCCAATCACAAGGTTGCCTTCTGCCACCCAGGCCTCCCCCACCCCAGTCTAGTTCCCATCCCCGGCAGTCAGCTCACTAGCATATAAAAAGACATTTGTCACTTCAGGGATTTTGAGGGCTTTAGGGGTTGTTTGCCAGGAAATGTGGACAAAGACCAAATATATATTTTACAATTCACAGCACCCTTTCTGCCAGCAGCACAGCTGGTCACAGAACCACTTAGGGGGCTGCCTAAGTTACTGGAGCATCTACAACTCTGGCTCTGGAACCCCTTCTCTCAGGGTTTCCTTCCTTACCCCAGTACTTGAGACTTCAATCCAGCCCCTGTTTCTGGGGTCAGGGTTACTTGCTTTCTTTCCCTCTGGGTCCTACAGTCCTGGCTCCGTTCTCTGTTCTCCTACAGAGTAGCCTGTAATTAGAGCTAATAGACTAAACCATAGTGGATCCTCCAGGAGGGGCCGTTTGGAAGATCCAGCCCTAATAGTTGACTTATCTCATAAATCAGCTAATCACCCACAGTGATAGCTGCAGGTCAGACTTCTGGCTCCCATGGGCCTTCCTTGGGCCCTTGACACCTCCACCCAAATAACTCTTCCCTAATTTGACTGGAATGGCAGCAAGGCCACTTTCTCAGCACAGGCAAAACAGTCCTGCATGCTAGGAGGGCAAGGAGACAGCCAGCAGTCATACACTCCCACTATCTACCTTGTCCCCCTCCTTCTCCCCATCTTTTCAAAACACACACACACACACACACACACACGCACACATGCACACGCAGGCATTCAGGTCCAGAATGCACCCATGTGGCAGCCAGCAGCGCCTGAGTGATAAGCAAAAGGATCCTTACTGCTGATCCTGGACAGCTGGCTCTCGCCCATCTGTCACTGCTGGAACTGGGAGAGGCAAGGCACAGCTGGGAACATCTGCTTCTCCTGGCTCCAGCTTCAGCCACGGCAATCTGGCTAATGAGCTGCACGTTAACCACTCACCACCCTGCCCACCTGACCCCCGCCAGTGCCTTCCACTTGGGCTTCCCCAGCACAGCCTTCCTTAGGAGAAGCCTCCTGGTGCCTTTTTCATTCCAGCTTCCTTGCCTTTTAGACACCCCTTGCCCAATCTTTGAACTCCCTAACATAATGCAGAAATATGTGCCTCATAGCAGCTTCTATTTCTGCCCCACCTCACCCCAAATTTTTGATTAATGATTTTTTTTTTTGCCTTTTCCCAGAGCTGAGGGTAGGGATGAGGGCCCCTGCATTATAATGGAGTAGAAACCTCAGGAAAGTGAACTTTCTAAGGGCCTCAGTCTATTCTGCATTAAATTATGGGGTTGCAACAAAAATATCAATAGAATACTTTATAGAATTTGAGAGCTTTTGAAAATTCATCTGACAGAGGAAATAAGAATGGTTGAGAAGAGTTTTTGAAGAATGAAATGGGAGACTTGTCTGACAAGCAGATATCAGAACCATCAGCTATAACTAAAACATATGTCTTGCACAAGATCACTCAGGTTAATGGGACAGGATAGAAAGTCCAAAAACGAGCCTACACATATGAGGTTGTAGTATGTGATAGCATCGGAATTGCAAATCAATATGGAAAGTAATACCTAGTTAATAAACTGACGGTTAGATATTCATAATTTTTAAATAAATATATAAAGATATATCTCTCCATAGCCACGCGCGGTGGCTCACACCTGTAATCCCAGTACTTTGGGAGGCCGAGGCGGGCGGATCCTGAGGTCAGGAGATCGAGACCATCCTGGCTAACACAGTGAAACCCCATCTCTGCTAAAAATACAAAAAAATTAGCCAGGCATGGTGGCGAGCGCCTGTAGTCCCAGCTACTTGGGAGGCTGAAGCAGGAGAATGGCGTGAACCCTGGAGGCAGAGCTTGCAGTGAGCCAAGATCGCACCACTGCACTCTAGCCTGGGCAATAGAGCAAGACTCTGTCTCATAAAAAAAAAAAAAAGATATATCTCTCCATTATACACAAAATTCATTCTAAGAAAACTAAAATCTCAACCTAAAAGCCAACCTACACAAATTTTAGGAGAAAATATAGATCATTATAATCTTGAGATAGGAAAACTTCCCAAGTCAAATATACAACCCAGAAATCATGAAGGGAAATACTGTAGATGTTATTATGTAAGAAATTTACAATGTAAGTCCACATCAAAACATCATTAGCAAAGCTAAGTGGTATGGCAGACAGGGAGAAAATATTTGAAACATACATTTGAAGGAAATGATTCGTGTCTATAATAAGTTTAAAAAAGAAACTCATCCAACTGAGTAATCAAAAGATAATAGAATGTCATGCAAAGGTTATAGACAGATAATTGCATAAACATACAAATAGTCAATGAACAAAAGAGAAATATACAACTTCCTCCTCTAAGAAATGCAAATTAAAATGCTAAGAAGCTGTGTTTTGACCCTAGGATTGGCAAAAGGCAAAAAGGTTATTAGTATTCTGTGTTGATGAAGTTTTGAGAAAATGAGCCCTCTTGTGTTGCTGGTGGAAGTGTAAATTGATAAACCTTTTTTGGAAGACAATTTGACAGTATCTTATAAAACCTGTAGTATGTCTACCCTTTGATATGGCAGTTCCATGGAAATCTTACATCAATCTGTACATGATTTCTTTAAAAAGAAAAAAAAACTAGAAGCTGTCTAAATGTCCAACAATAGGTGAATGGGACTAAATAAATTATGGCCTTCTCTACAATGGAGTATTACTTATGGATTGCTTTAAAAAAAAAAAGTAAGAAAGCTCTATATACACTTTTGTGGCTATCTTTCAAAGACTTTTTTGAGAGGGAATCTTGCTTTGTCGCCCATGCTGGAGTGCAGTGGCGAGATCTTGGCTCACTGCAACCTCCGCCTCCTGGGTTCAAGCCATTCTCCTGCCTCAGCCTCCCAAGTAGCCGGGATTACAGGCATGTGCCACCACACCCAGCTAATTTTTTTGTATTTTTAGTAGAGATGGGAGGTTTTGCCTTGTTGGCCAAGCTGGTCTCGAACTCCTGACCTCAGGGAATCTGCCTTCCTGGGCCTCCCAAAGTGCTAGGATTACAGGCGTGAGCCACCACTCCCGGCCCTCAAATACTTATTATTTGTGAAAACAGAAAGTAGCTTACAAAATAACACTTGTATGATCCCGTGTTGAAAGCAAAACTCAGAAACATTCAAGCAGTTCTCTGGAGGCATTGAAAAATGGTCTGGAAAGTTTTGCTAACAATTGCTGAGAGTGGCTGCCTCTGAGAATGAGAGTGGAAGGATGAGGGTGAGGGAATTAAACTTTATTCTGTGTAAGTCTTTACTTTTTGACTTTTCACAATAAGCACACAGAGGTATAATGATTAAAGGCATGAATTCTGGAACCTGGAGTGTCTGGCTCATTTCCCAGCTCTGCCTCTCATAGCTGAGTACCTTGGCAAGTCACTCGACCTCCCTGTGCCTCAGTTTCCTCGTGGAAAGTGCTTAAACCGGTGACTGGGCCACAGTAAGCACTATGTTAGTGCTAGCCATTAATATTACTAAGTTTAAAAGTTCTTTTCAGATAAAAGAAGCTAACAGCCTGGCCAACGTGGCAAAACCTTGTCTCTACTAAAAATACAAAAAATTAGCCAGGCATGGTGGTGCATGCCTGTAATCCCAACTACTCAGGAGGCTGAAGTGGGAGAATCGCTTGAACCTAGGTGGCGGAGGTTATAGTGAGCCAAGATTGTGCCACTGCACTCCAGCTCCAGCCTGGGTGACAGAGTGAGACCTTTGCCTCAAACAAACAAACAAAAAGTTAAGGGGAGTAGACTAGATAGTATCAAGAAGTCCAGCCAAATCTGTCAATTGTTGATTTCGATGATGGCTATAATTGAAATATTGGAGAGGATGAGAATCCTCTGTACAGTTCTGTGCTTGTTCTTACCCTCCAAATCTAAAGGGTTTTAATAATTAAAAATAAATCTTGGGCTGGGTGTGGTGGCTCACAGGCTTTGGGAGGCCAAGCAAGAGGATCATCTGAGTCCAGGTGTTTGAGATCAGCCTGGACAGCATAGCAAGAACTCATCTCTACCAAAAAAAAAAAAAAGAAAGAAAAAATAGCCCAGTGTGTTGGCAGGCACCTGTAGTCCCAGCTACTTGGGAGACTGAGCCCAGGAGTTTGAGGCTATAGTGAGCTTTGATTATACCACTGCGCTGCAGACAGAACGAGACCCTGTCTCTGAAAAACAAAAAATTCACCAATATCCTCTTGAAGAAACAGAAGGGTTTTGTAAATGAGCTTTGCCTTGGGGGTACCTGGCTGTTCTGCTGATGAAATAAGTGGACTAGACTAACTGAAGGGACCAGGATCAACTAGGGATGTTAAGGGACTATTGTCTTGCCCATCTTATATCCAAACAAATCCCCAACCCTAAACACTCAGTCTACTGTCCTGGAGCTGAGGGGTGGGGAGAGGCAGAACAAGTAGCATAAACCTGAGGGGCTCTGACACAGCTGCTTCTCCATCAGCTCTAAAAACCAAGGGTTTGGGGAGCAGGGGATGATCTGGTCCCTGACTCTGATTTCCTCCTTGCAGTGGAGTGAACAGCAACAGATACTGAATGGGACACCCCTGTACATGTACCAGGACTGCCCAATGCAAGGACGCAGAGACACTGACCACTGGCTTCGCTCCAATTGGATCTACCGCGGGGAGGAGGCTTCCCGCGTCCACGTGGAGCTGCAGTTCACCGTGCGGGACTGCAAGAGTTTCCCTGGGGGAGCCGGGCCTCTGGGCTGCAAGGAGACCTTCAACCTTCTGTACATGGAGAGTGACCAGGATGTGGGCATTCAGCTCCGACGGCCCTTGTTCCAGAAGGTGCTGCTTCCCTCCATGCCATCTGGGTCCTGGTGCAGATCCCTGGTGGCTCCTTATTGGGTGCCAGAGAAGGTTGCAGAGACAGGAAGAGGGTGCAGAGGTAGAATCTTGAAAAGAATTTGGCGCTTGAAGGCTGGGCATGGTGGCTTGTGCCTGTAATTCCAGTGCTTTGGGAAACCGATGTGGGAAGATCACTTGAGGCCAGGAGCTTGAGACCAGCCTGGGCAACATAGCAAAACTTCATCTCTGCAAAAAATTAAAAATCACCTGGGCATGGTGGCCCATACCTGTAGTCCCAGCGACTCAGGAGGCTGAGGCAGGAGGATCACTTGAGCCCAGGAGTTTGAGGCTGCAGTGATCTATGATTGTGCCACTGTACACCAGCCTGGGCAACAGAGCAAGATCCTGTCTCTAAAGAAAAAAAGAACAGTGTGGCATTGGAAATCAGAAGGGCTGGATTTGAGTATCTTTTCTGCTGTGCCGTGACTTTGGGGGTGTCATTTAACCTCTCCAGCTTTTGTTGCCTAGTCATAAAATAGTGACAACAATAGGGCCAGCTATATCTATTTTATAGGCTTTTATAAGCATCCACTGAGATCACAGGATACCATGGGGAGGAGGGAAGTGTAGCACAGAGTTATTTAGACTTTTCCTATTGATACCCACGATGTTCATAAGCAACCCACTCCCATAGTATCACTGGAGTCATGTAGCAAGACAATTCCCTGCAGGCTAGTACTCTCCAGCACATCCCTTTCTTTCCTACTCAAAAAAACATCCTGGGATGCAGAAGAGTAAGGAGCATTTTATGATAGGATATGCTCTTGTTTCTTTCCAAAGAGAAAATGTTGTAAAATTTGTTACTAGTAATAAATTGATAACGATATGCTCTATAACTCATCATGTTATTGGCACTGAGTTTGGGAATGCCTCTGAATAGCAGAAATTGTATGGACTGTAGAGTCCCAATGCCTGGATTCCAGTCCTAGCCCCATGATGTGGTAGCTGTGTGATCTTATACAAGGTCTTTATCTTCTATTAGCCTTGGTTTCCTCATCTATTAAATAGAGACAATAAGCCATCCTACCTCATAAGAGGATTGCATGAGCTAAATAGCATAATGCACATAAAATGCTTAGCCTGGCACCTCACACATACAAGGCTCAGTGTTCATGGTTGTGGAAAGTATTAAGCAAACGATTGTTTCTGTTATGTGGGAAAGAAGCAGGACTTTGCCATTGCTCCCCTTTCTTCCCCACCTTCTACCCAGGTAACCACGGTGGCTGCAGACCAGAGCTTCACCATTCGAGACCTTGTGTCTGGCTCCGTGAAGCTGAATGTGGAGCGCTGCTCTCTGGGCCGCCTGACCCGCCGTGGCCTCTACCTCGCTTTCCACAACCCGGGTGCCTGTGTGGCCCTGGTGTCTGTCCGGGTCTTCTACCAGCGCTGTCCTGAGACCCTGAATGGCTTGGCCCAATTCCCAGACACTCTGCCTGGCCCCGCTGGGTTGGTGGAAGTGGCGGGGACCTGCTTGCCCCACGCGCGGGCCAGCCCCAGGCCCTCAGGTGCACCCCGCATGCACTGCAGCCCTGATGGCGAGTGGCTGGTGCCTGTAGGACGGTGCCACTGTGAGCCTGGCTATGAGGAAGGTGGCAGTGGCGAAGCATGTGTTGGTAAGAACGGAGGCGGTGAGAACCTGAGGAACCACTCGGGAGGATTGCAGGAGTACCCCGGCAGAGAAGGAGGCCAGTGCTCCGCCTCAGTGGGTTTTTAACCTGAGTGTCCCAGAGCAGCGGACACACACATGCAGAGATGTTTCCAGTAGAAGGGATTGGGGCAGGAAGGGGTGGTGGTGGTTCTGCCTGTAAAAACATTTACAGAACCACTGCTCTGCTGCGTTCTCTCTCCAGCCTGCCCTAGCGGCTCCTACCGGATGGACATGGACACACCCCATTGTCTCACGTGCCCCCAGCAGAGCACTGCTGAGTCTGAGGGGGCCACCATCTGTACCTGTGAGAGCGGCCATTACAGAGCTCCCGGGGAGGGCCCCCAGGTGGCATGCACAGGTGAGTCCAGGGGGTGGGGCGTGGCCATCTGGAGGGAGGGGCTGGATCTTTGCTGAGACTTTGTCAGGGTTGGATTTTTCCAGAGCTTGTCAGATATTGGAGATGGTCCAGGGTGTCAGGCACTTTTAGCCCCTGCCCTGGCACCCTGCTCTCCCTAGAAGAATGCAGAGATGTAGTCAAACCCAGTAGAAATCAAATCTCCCCAAGAGGACTTCAGAGGACATCGAGAATTGGGTGGTGGTGGAGGCCGGGGATCAGCAGCTCGGGTGACAGCGAGGTCGGCTTCTACTGATGGCTCCTCTTCTCCCACAGGTCCCCCCTCGGCCCCCCGAAACCTGAGCTTCTCTGCCTCAGGGACTCAGCTCTCCCTGCGTTGGGAACCCCCAGCAGATACGGGGGGACGCCAGGATGTCAGATACAGTGTGAGGTGTTCCCAGTGTCAGGGCACAGCACAGGACGGGGGGCCCTGCCAGCCCTGTGGGGTGGGCGTGCACTTCTCGCCGGGGGCCCGGGGGCTCACCACACCTGCAGTGCATGTCAATGGCCTTGAACCTTATGCCAACTACACCTTTAATGTGGAAGCCCAAAATGGAGTGTCAGGGCTGGGCAGCTCTGGCCATGCCAGCACCTCAGTCAGCATCAGCATGGGGCATGCAGGTGAGAGGCTGAGAGGGGCTGGGACAGGGACCTGGTGGAGACAGAAGGGCTTAAGACCACAGAACAAACTGATGGGCAGGAAGCCATAGAAAAGTTACTAAGGTTATTTCCTTTTTCCTTACATATCCAACCTTATCCCTCTGGACCCCCAGAGTCACTGTCAGGCCTGTCTCTGAGACTGGTGAAGAAAGAACCGAGGCAACTAGAGCTGACCTGGGCGGGGTCCCGGCCCCGAAGCCCTGGGGCGAACCTGACCTATGAGCTGCACGTGCTGAACCAGGTCAGGATGCTACTGAGAGATGGTCTTCAGTGTCCATGCCCGGGCACACCCCAACATTCCTAGCCTGGGGTGTGGGTTGGGAGGAATCCACCCGAAGTCCACTGTGTGGCTTTCTCAGGACAAAAGTCTATGAAGAACCCTGTCCTAACCATTCTGCTCTCCAGCCCCTCCCCATGTGCTCTGATGCTGTCCATCACATCCACCCGGGTCTGGCTCAGCACTGCCCACTTAATGCAACTCCAACCCACAGGATGAAGAACGGTACCAGATGGTTCTAGAACCCAGGGTCTTGCTGACAGAGCTGCAGCCTGACACCACATACATCGTCAGAGTCCGAATGCTGACCCCACTGGGTCCTGGCCCTTTCTCCCCTGATCATGAGTTTCGGACCAGCCCACCAGGTGGGGTATCTTGTGCTCTGCCCCAACACACATACACCTGTTGCCTCACTGAGGCAACTCAGCTCCTGTTCCACGTAGTGACTTTTCCTCTTCCTCTACACACATGCACACACACTCCCTTCTTCCGGGGGTAGGGGACAGACACCGACCTGATGCACACTGAAAGGTCTGACCCTAGGTGTACCCAGGGCCCTGCCCTTTAACCCCCCTCATTCCTACGGACTGTGAGTCCCAACACTTCCTCATCCCTTTGTGCCTACAGTGTCCAGGGGCCTGACTGGAGGAGAGATTGTAGCCGTCATCTTTGGGCTGCTGCTTGGTGCAGCCTTGCTGCTTGGGATTCTCGTTTTCCGGTCCAGGTGCCAGCTCCTGCCCCCTCCCCAACCACCAGCCCTGGGTCAGAAGCCCCTGACTGCAGCCCCAACGACCCTCCCATCCCCTAGTATCAAAACCCATCCTGCACTCCCAGCCCGTTTCTGGGGAAGATTCAGCCAGAGTCCCTCGGACCCCTGAGGTGGTCCTGGGGCCCTGAAGGAGCTGGTCCCCAACCCCCACAGGAGAGCCCAGCGGCAGAGGCAGCAGAGGCAGCGTGACCGCGCCACCGATGTGGATCGAGGTGAGTCGGGTGCACCTGCGTGTGTCCCCACATGCGTGTGCACACCTGTGTGTGCGTGTGTGTGTGTGTTGGGAGATGCCACTGGGAAGGGATCAAGGGACACATTTGCTAGGCCAACTCTGGGGGCACATGTGGGGTTTGTTGTCCCCAGGGCTCTTGTGTTTTGCTACCTAATTAACTTTGGTTAATTAACTATGTACTGGTAGCCCCCCAGTGGCTCTGATGCAATTATCTGTTAGTGTCCGTTCACTGCTGGTGCCGCTGTCTTGTCACCCTGGGCTCTGGACAGCCCTCCCCATCCTGGAGGCCAGGGCTGTGGGCCGAGGCCAGGCGGGAGGAGGATTGACGTCCTCCGAGGCTTATGAGCTTCTTGCTTGTCACCTCATTAGGTGACCCACAAAGGGGAGAGTGAGGGGTCCATCCGGGCAGCTGGGGTGGGAGCCATGCGCGGCTCTGTCTGGGAATGTGAACGAGGTGTGACTGACCAGAGCAGTGTGGGGACTGGCCGCTGAGAAGATTGGGCAACTCAGGCAGCAAATATGCTCTGCGGGTGTGGATCCTGGCCACCGCCCCGGACCTTGTGGAGTGAGGACAGCGGAGCTTGGAGCATAGACAGGGAGAAGAAAGGCCTAGTTGCTAAATGGAGACTTTCTCCCACCTCAGCCCAAACAGGAGTCACCTTGGGAAACAGGGAGGTGTGGAGAAGTGTGTGGTCCGCTGCTGGCCCTTCTCCTGACCCCCATACTCCTGAGCCCTGATGTTGGTACTCCCCAACCTCATGTTCTGCCCATAGAGGACAAGCTGTGGCTGAAGCCTTATGTGGACCTCCAGGCATACGAGGACCCTGCACAGGGAGCCCTGGACTTTACCCGGGAGCTTGATCCAGCGTGGCTGATGGTGGACACTGTCATAGGAGAAGGTGAGTCCTGCTGTGCACCGCAGCAGGCCCCCCGCCATGTGGGGCAGCACAGAGCCACCAGCAGGCCCCTTCCTTCCAGCGCTTCCCTGGGCAGCCCAGCTGGCTTCTCTGGTCCAAGAGTTTCCAGAGGTACTCACTCTGCTCTGCTCTGTATCCTCTTTGAACCATTGCGTTCTTGTTAAAAACCCCTCATCAGGTGCCCTGGAGCAACCCCTGTCTCCTACACACTTGCTTCTGTGGTTTTGGAGTTTCTGATAAAGGGCATTAAATACACTGTTTTCATCCACAGAGGTGCTGCTGTGCTGAGGGTCCAGATGTTCTGTGATGATGCCCAAATGTAGGACTCATTCCCTCCCTAGCCTGGCATTCCACCCCATCAGAGGCCCAGTGTCCTTGGGCTGCCCTGTTCCCTTGGGTCACCAGAGGAAATGGATCTCAGTGGAGAACAAAGCTTGGTGGTGTCCTTGCCAATTGTGCAGCTGAGCCAGGCAAGCTGGGACCAGAGGAGCTCACAGAAGAGAGGCGGCCATAGCCAGCGTCCCTGCCACTTGGGTACTAGTGCCGCACTAGCTTGCTCTTCATGAGCACGGCCCAGTCCCGCTCCACAGGGTTCATTCACCCTGCAGTTGCCGAGCGCCTATTGTGAGCCAAGAACTGTGCAAACACTGGGAGACAGTGGTGAATAGGTCACGGCATTGCACTCCAGCTCCAGACTCTGACCTTCCCCAGGAAGGACAGCCCACGCCCTGTCCCAGGAAGGGCACTCCACGCTTCTGATTCTCCAGAAAAGAAAAGGGCCGGAGGACTGGAGGGGTTGCTGCCTGTCCCCTGGAGGAGCCCTGCAGTGCATCGGGCCACAGCCTGTTTTCTTTCTACCCAGGAGAGTTTGGGGAAGTGTATCGAGGGACCCTGAGGCTCCCCAGCCAGGACTGCAAGACTGTGGCCATTAAGACCTTAAAAGACACATCCCCAGGTGGCCAGTGGTGGAACTTCCTTCGAGAGGCAACTATCATGGGCCAGTTTAGCCACCCGCATATTCTGCATCTGGAAGGCGTCGTCACAAAGCGTACGATGAGTGGTCTCCCTCAGCTGGGGGCGGGAAATGCAGGAAAGAGGGGTGAAACCACTGGAAGTGGAGGGAGGATGTGTGGCCAAGGGCAGGAAGCCCGGTTCTGAGTGTGATATGTGTGTCTGTGTCTCAGGAAAGCCGATCATGATCATCACAGAATTTATGGAGAATGGAGCCCTGGATGCCTTCCTGAGGGTGAGGAGGGCAGAGGACTAGCTGGGGAGGGGGATGCACCATGGTACCCTGGGCACTGGGAGGAGACCTGGCCCATCCCCTGACTCACCCACTCACCCTGCTGCAGGAGCGGGAGGACCAGCTGGTCCCTGGGCAGCTAGTGGCCATGCTGCAGGGCATAGCATCTGGCATGAACTACCTCAGTAATCACAATTATGTCCACCGGGACCTGGCTGCCAGAAACATCTTGGTGAATCAAAACCTGTGCTGCAAGGTGTCTGACTTTGGCCTGACTCGCCTCCTGGATGACTTTGATGGCACATACGAAACCCAGGTTAGAGGCCGGTACAAACCCAGTGCACATTCACATTGCCCCGTAACATGCCATTCATACAGTCACATGTATATAGGCACAAAGACTTGGCCAGGCACGGTGGCTCACACCTGTAATCCCAGCACTTTGGGAGGCCGAGGCAGGTGGATCACAAGGTCAGGAGATCGAGACCAGCCTGGCGAACATGGTGAAACCCCGTCTCTACTAAAAATACAAAAAATTAGCTGGGCATGGTGGCAGGCGCCTGTAGTCCCAGCTACTCAGGAGGCTGAGGCAGGAGAATCGCTTGAACCTGGGAGGTGGAGGTTGCAGTGAGCCGAGATTGCGCCACTGCACTGCAGCCTAGCAACAGAGCGAGACTTTGTCTCAAAAAAAATAAAATAAAAATACAATAAAAGAAGCAGAAAGACTCGTGCTCAGGTGGACACCATAACTTTCCGTCCCTGACCCATGTGCCTTCTTAGGGAGGAAAGATCCCTATCCGTTGGACAGCCCCTGAAGCCATTGCCCATCGGATCTTCACCACAGCCAGCGATGTGTGGAGCTTTGGGATTGTGATGTGGGAGGTGCTGAGCTTTGGGGACAAGCCTTATGGGGAGATGAGCAATCAGGAGGTGAGCCCAGAATATTCTTCCTCATCTTGTCTCCAATTCACACCTCTTATTTCCTCCCAAGGTCCTCCCATGGCCTTTTCCTGCAAATATCTTTATTTATTCATGACCTTCAGTTTTTCTGTACTCCTGGCTCCTCTGGTTCTTCACCTCATGCCCTGCTCTCTTTACTCCTCCCACCCTGATCCTCCCACTGTGATCGTCCCACCCTGGTCCTCCCACCTCCTCCCATCCTAGGATCTCCACTGCAATTATCTTGTGTGACCGTCGGTTTCTCATGGGCCTCCAGGTTAGCTTGCTACTCTAGAGCATCCTCCTGTCCCGCCGTGCAGGTTATGAAGAGCATTGAGGATGGGTACCGGTTGCCCCCTCCTGTGGACTGCCCTGCCCCTCTGTATGAGCTCATGAAGAACTGCTGGGCATATGACCGTGCCCGCCGGCCACACTTCCAGAAGCTTCAGGCACATCTGGAGCAACTGCTTGCCAACCCCCACTCCCTGCGGACCATTGCCAACTTTGACCCCAGGTAACCATGCAGGGGAAGGACTAGGGAACCCAGAGGCAGCGCTAGGAGAGTGGAAATGGGCATTCAGCCAATCTTCTTTGAGCGCTGGGCCTGGGGAGCTCTGGACCAAGTCCAGTGTATGAGGCAAGACGTGCCCTTGGGGAGAGTCCAAGAGGTCAGCTTTAGATTATGCATATTTGCAGAAAATCAGTTATGGCTGGGCCCCAGTTCCCTCACTTCACCTGGGCTTGGGGGTGGGGGGCCCATCTTTTCTCTTCTCAGGCAGCCTCACCTAAGACACTCCCGGAGCCATCCTTGCCAATCCCACTGTGTTGTACTGTGGCCCATTCTTGGGATGCATCCCCTTCCCCATAGAAATATTTCTGCATGTGAAGGAAAGGGTCATCCATTCATGAAGTTTTGGAGGACCTACTGGTGCAAGCTGTTTGCTGGACATTGGAGATACAGCTGCACTTATTACCCAAGCTCCAGGGAGCTTGGGCAGCCAGGCTGGGGTGGGGTAGGTAGCAGCAGCCTTGCAGGGTTTGGGAAGGCTTCTGGATCACATGGCTAGTCTGTGGGGAGCTGAGGGCTGGTAGGTTGCAGATAGTGCAGGATGGCTGCGGCATTGTGTTTAGGAATAGCAGCCATGAGGCTGGAGAGACAACCAGTCAACACAAAGAGGACCAGCCCTGTTGAGAAGTTTGGATTTTACCATGAGTGCAGAGTTGTTGTTTTTTTTTCCACCCCGAGACGGAGTCTTGCTCTGTCGCCCAGGCTGGAGTAACGCAGCGCAATCTCAGCTCACTGCAGCCTCCACCTCCAGGGTTCAAGTGATTCTCCTGTCTCGGCCTCCTGAGTAGCTGGGATTACAGGCACATACCACCATGCCCGGCTAATTTTTGTATTTTTAGTAGAAACGGGGTTTCACCATGTTGGCCAAGCTGGTCTCGAACTCCTGACCTCATGATCCGCCCACCTCGGCCTCCCAAAGTGCTGGGATTACAGGCGTGGGCCACCTCGCCTGGCCTGGAGAACCAATTCTTAAAAGCTGTCCACAGGATGGGGGGACATGGTCAGAGCTGCATTTTACCAAAAATATGGCCTGAGTGTAGAGAATGAACTGATGGGGGGGTGGGGGAGCGCTCAGGTTGGGGAAGCAGGCAAGGCTGTTCTTCAAGTGCTTTATTGGGTAGCCAGCCTGGCCAACTGGCCTCTGTATCCAACCACCATATATAACCTTGTTTCTGGGAGAAAACATGCTCTAAGTTCCAACTTTTGAAACTATCTTTTGGAGCGCAACTCCCTCATACACTGGAGACTGCGTGTGCTAATCTTTCTGGAATGCTGGATATTTTTTCCCCCAGCAGATTTACTTTGCTAATGGTTTTTGGCTCTGGCGAGCTTTAGTACAGGAACACTCATTGTATTGTGGGTGTCAGAGTGCAAGAATAACAGCCGAAGCTGAAGGTGGTGAGGAAGGACTGCTCCCGGAACTCAAGCAGCCACTATGGAAAAAGGCAGGACCACGCCCAGGTGCCAGGCCTCTGTTCTCCTACTTTCAGCTTCCTCTCAGACAGGAGACTTCCATGTCTTAACCAGCCCTCAGTCAGGTGCCCAGAACCGGCCACTCCAGCAGGAGACCGGCTGGTGATCCCCTTCTGTTGGGGCTTCCCAGGACAGTCCCTTCCTATAGGCCTGTCGACATAGCAGGACTGTCAGCCAGTCCACTGTTGTGAGCACACCAGGAAACAGGCCAGGAAGTGGGCTCAGAGATAATGGTGGGGTCAATCCACAGTCTAGATGATCTCTGTGCCCAGACACCGAACTTCAGTGCTGGCTGCTGATGCTCAGAGGCCAAGGCCAACCAGATCAGCCCATGTACCCGCTGTGACTGACATGCCCATGTCCCACAGGATGACTCTTCGCCTGCCCAGCCTGAGTGGCTCAGATGGGATCCCATATCGAACCGTCTCTGAGTGGCTCGAGTCCATACGCATGAAACGCTACATCCTGCACTTCCACTCGGCTGGGCTGGACACCATGGAGTGTGTGCTGGAGCTGACCGCTGAGTAAGGAGCTGGAGCTGTCTGGGCAGGGGAGGGCTGCGGGGGTGGAGCCTCCGGACTCATGCCCCCACCCTTCCTTGCCCACAGGGACCTGACGCAGATGGGAATCACACTGCCCGGGCACCAGAAGCGCATTCTTTGCAGTATTCAGGGATTCAAGGACTGATCCCTCCTCTCACCCCATGCCCAATCAGGGTGCAAGGAGCAAGGACGGGGCCAAGGTCGCTCATGGTCACTCCCTGCGCCCCTTCCCACAACCTGCCAGACTAGGCTATCGGTGCTGCTTCTGCCCACTTTCAGGAGAACCCTGCTCTGCACCCCAGAAAACCTCTTTGTTTTAAAAGGGAGGTGGGGGTAGAAGTAAAAGGATGATCATGGGAGGGAGCTGAGGGGTTAATATATATACATACATACACATATATATATTTTTGTAAATAAACAGGAACTGATTTTCTGCCTCCATCCCACCCATGAGGGCTGCAGGCACTACAAAAGAGCTGACTACTGAGAATTCTGGAAAACAAGGTTTTTTTTTATTTGTAGCTATAGCTACAACTTGGCAGCATGGGGGAGGGTGGGAATGTCCTGGAGGGTCTCCCAGCCCTCCGCAAGCAGAGTACAAAGGCTGCTCGGGGGGCCGGCCGAGGGCGCGGGTGCAGCAGTGAAAGCAGCAGCACTAAACCTGGTGCCCCCCTCAGGTGGGGTGTCTGGAAGACGGTGGGCAATCCCTGCAGGATGGGCGAGGACCAGACCCCAGGGCGGGGATCCTGCATCCCTAGACCATGTTGGGTCCTGGGTCAGGGCACCTGGGATGCTAGGGAGGGGTTGGAAATGGGAGGGGCTAGACATCAAAACAATAACTGAGGTGGGGGCAGGTGGTCTCAGTGTGGGTGGTCCACAATGGGGCATGGACTGCGGTCTGAAGAGGGCCTGTCCTCACTCAGGTCTGGGCTCTAGCAGTGTGGCACTTCCGACAGAGCACGTGACCGTCCAGGGGGAAGCAGCCATTGTCATCTGCCTCAATCGACAGGGGCTTCCCGCAGTCCTGGGAAGAAGGAAGGGTGAGGGGCACTGGACCGGAAGGCCCCTGCTCTGCTCCACCCTACCCCACCCCATCCAGCTCCATCTTGGAATTAGAAAGATGCTTCATGGCTCAGAGCTGGTGTCATCGCTTTTTCCAGCCACACCCAACTCCCCATCCCTATCCTACTTCCAGTCACCCACTAGGACCTTCCTGCAAGAGGGCAAGCAGTGGGTAGAGCTGCTCCCAAGGTGCTTGCTCCCCTGCCCACCACCACCCTAATAAAATAGAGGTTGGCTCACCTCCATTCGAAGACCTCTTCTCTCAGCTCCTGTTTCCCCATCCCCTACCACGGTAAAACACCATGCCCTTCTTCTCTCCTATTGGCTTGTCCCATTTCTTGGCTTATCCATGACTCAAAGTGACCTCAGAAGCCCCACAGCCCCATTTCCTGCAGTGGCAGGAAGCATTCTGGCAGGACAGATGGGGTGCCACCATGAGCCACCCTCAAAATCACAGCCCTGTTTCCTGAATGCTGGTGCTTTCCACCTCCCAGTTAGTAAGCAGCATCTCCCGCCACCTCCTGGTCAGAACCTGCCCAAGGAGTCCAGAGGGATGGCTGACCTCACACTTGTAACACTTCATGTGGAAGTTCTTGTCCAGGGCGACCACTCGCACAGTCTCATCTCGGCCAGGCTCAGGCATGATGGGCTCAGAGCAGACGGAGCACCTCGGGGCGTACTGCCTGGAAGGGGCAGAAAGGGCCAGCCGAGTTAGCCAGGGCTTTCATCCCCGGTGTGCGCACGCATAAGCCAGGTTGGGCAGCAAGGAAGCAGACTTCTCTGCCCTGCATCTCCAGGTGAAGGAAGCTCACCAGAAGGGCCTAAGAGTGAGACACCATGACTGGCCCTCATCAAAGGGAATTTCCTGCCTCACCAGTCACTCTCCCAAAGCAAGGGAGCCTCCCACACACCTGCCACGGTGTTCTCTCCCACTCGACCCTTACTGTCCCATTCACACTGCAGCTCCTGCAGAAAGCCAGCCCTGAGGTACCCCTCCCATCCCATCCTGGGTCCCTGACCCTCACCTTCCCCCAATCCTCCCACCCCCATGCACGTTGCCTCTGCCCTGACTGTCTGGCACTGTGGAGGGATGTGAAGTTGTGGCCACCCCAGATGGAATCCTGAAAGTGTTTACCCAAACACTCTGTCAGAGGTGGGGGTCAGATTCTGCACTGTTCCCACAGCTGCACTGAGGTTCTGCGGGTCAGCCTGAAAAAGTAGCCACCTTCTAAACACTATTTCTGGGGAGAAACCAGAAATCCAAACAGCTGATCTCCAAAAGAACTTTTAGAACCCAGCCTGTGTGTGAGATGAAGTCACTCCAGCACACTTCACGAAATGCTGACATACACCCACAATAAGCTTCAGTGATCAAGGGCGAGGGAGGGACCAGACAGCAGCAGGACTCGATGCCCAGGCCTAAGGCCCCTGGACAGCTACATCCCGATGACTTGGTCCCTGCTGTTTACAGACAGGACATGGGACCAGAAAACACCACCAGGGGTTTGGGGCTGTCCTGAGGCTAGGGTAGCAAGCAGCCGGGCTACCAGACCAAGCACGCCGGGAACCCAGAAGGCAGGTGGCAGGTCCTCACTTGTGGTAGTCGGGGACACAGTGGGGCCGGTTGGCCTGGTCCACGATGAAGGAGGTGCCCTCCAGGGGGCGGGCGCAGACCACACAGGTGAAGCAGTGCGGGTGATAGGCCTTGCCCGTGGCCCTCAGCATGCGGTCAGTGATGGGCTCCCCGCAGGTGTTACACTTCTCCAGGGTGTCCTGAGGAGGCAGCAGGAGGAGGTTGGCAGGGAACCGGCACCCCACAGCAAGCTTCCAGGGCCCGACTGCCCAGCACAGCCCAGCACAGCCCAGCACAGCCCGACTCACAGTGTAACAGCCCTCGCAGTACGGCGCCCCCTCCAGACTGTAGAACTGCTGGCCCTGGAGCTGCTGCGCACACTGGTGGCAGGTGAAGCAGGCGATGTGGAACAGCTGCCCTAGAGCGCGGACGGCTGGCTGCGCCCGGGCCAGGGGTTGATGGCATCGGCCGCAGAGTTCTGGGAAGGCCAGAGAAGACAGCAGTAAATAGAAGGAAGTATGTAGAGCTGCGAGGGATCAGCCAGCTCAGATAGGGAGTGGAGCCACAGCCCTGGCCCCCACCGTGATGTGGGGGCAGGGTGGGGGTGTCCCGGTGGGGTGGGCTCACCGTTGACAGCCACATTCTGCCTCTGAGGATGCTCCATGTCCTGCATTAGCTGCTGGGTCAGCTGCTCCAGCTCCTCCACCTCCTTCAGAGTCAGGGGCCCTGGGGCCCCAGGGGAGCGCACCTGCAATCCCAACATTTTCCTCACACTCTAGAGGGCTGCTGCCTCCAAGAACCTTCCCAGGCCAGCCTACCCGGCTTCTTCCGATGAGGCTTAGCTCCCAGCTCGTGTCCCAGATGCTCAGGCTTGACCCTTAAAGCTTCTCCCTCGTCCCCCTACCCCCGCCATCCCCAGCACCACACAAATAACAGGGGAAGGGACCTAAGCCTGGATCTCGTACAGCAAGACATTTCCACCCACTCTGCCCAAACCCCCTGAGCAGTCACAGACAGGCCAGAATGACTGGGCGGACGGAGGCCACGCACACAGCAGCTCGGGTCACTGAAGCACCGGACACTCCAGGGCCACGCATCAACTCCACAGAGCATGCTCGGACATCGCCCCCATGGGACAGGGGCACGCAATGGCGTGCACACACGCGCACACACACCTACCCGGCCTGCCTGCTGCTGAGCAGCCCCTGTCAGCGTGAGGATACAACACAGGCAGGAATTGCAGGTTAAACCCACTGAGCTGTCTGCAAGAACCCAGCCCCACCCCCACACAGAGACCCTGTCCCTCGAGTGAGGGGCCTCTGAACTACCTCACTCAGGTCCCTCCCCAGCAGCCTCAGAGAAGGTCCAAAGGCCACCCCCTAGGCCAGCCCAACCTTCCCATTTAGGGGATCCCGGGGACTGGAGTGGGGGGTGGATGTTAAGGACAGCGCTGCCAGTAACCCTGAGAGGTAACCCTGAGAACTCCGGGAAGGGCTGTCTGACCTGCATCAGCACTGCCGGGAGACACGCCCACAGGAGCAAGTGCACTGGGTGGGTCTTTTCTATGTCTGGAAAAGCCTACCCAGGACTGTGGCCCCATCACTGAGTGTGCTACCTGCAGATGCCTTCATTCCCATAACACCTGGAACCTCCAAAGCCCCCCTGCTACCTCCTCCCATAGCCCCTCTCCCCTCAGCCCTGGCTTCACTGCCCCTCACCCCGACCCCCATCTGTACCCAGAGTTGCGTCCTTTCTGCCCAGTGAAGCATGCGTCCATATAAGTCCAACTCTCCAGATCTTAGCCATTTTCCCTTAAGATCTTAGCCATCTTCCCTTAAGATCCTACCATCTCTTAACTGACTCGTTCCCTGGAACACTCACTTCAACTTTGTCTCCTCCAATCTTCCCTTCCTGGCCTCTTGGGGACACAGTGAAGGGGCTCAGTCAGTCCTTGCTCTCCAGTGCCATTCTAAATGCCTGGCTCCTCCTTCAGAAGCACAGAATCCTCATCTGCATCACCTCCCATGGGTATCCCCATTCATCAGGACACTCTATCCAGAACTGCCCCCTCTGCCAGCCTGCACCAATGCCACCGCTTCAAACCAAACTTCCGTCCATCTCAGTCATCATCCATCATGGGACATCCTTGACCTCAGATTTACCTCCAAGTCTCTTGCCAGCCATTATCTGCCTCTCCTCTTCCCCATCCACACCTACTACATGAACCCAGAAAAGCCTTAGTTGCCCCCACCCGCAACCCACCCCTGGACTTTGTCCACCATGCCCCAGCCTGGTCCCATGACCATCTAACTCCTACAGGGTTCACTGTCCCTCCGGGCACCTGCAGCCACCCGCAGCTATCCGGCCCAGTCTCCAACCCCAAGTCACACCACCACCCTCTTCCTGTTTCTGCTTCCAAGCTGCAGAAAGCAGTGGAGAGATCACTGAACACTGCAGCGTGAGCTCACAACACTGCAGCACCCGCGCGACCTCCAGCCCAGCCTTCCCCACAGCAGCCGTTCCAGACCTCTCCATCTCCTGAGCCCCCACCTGCTTCGTCCCTTTGCTCGCACCGTGACCTCACCTCCCACATGGTTGAGGACATGGAAGCCAGCCAGCTTAAGCTCCCTCATCGTCCTTCCTATCCACGCTGCAACCACTCTGTCCTTGCTGTCTGGTATGCCTCTGGGGGAGGAGACATCACCAAGATCTCCTCCAGGGACCGAAGCAGCCTGCCCCTGCTCTCCCACAACACTCACCCTCCATCACCTGCTTCCCCGGGTTACACACGTACCTGAGCCCTTCTCCCCTAACTTGCAAAAACCACATATGCTACACCACAGACTCAAACACACACACCCTCACACATACCCACATACCACTCACATGCACACACACATACCAGACCACACACATACACCACTCACATACACTCACACATATACCACACCACACACACACACTCACACATATACCATACCACACACACACACACCACTCACATTCAGATAATACCACACCAGGCCAGGCGCGGTGGCTCACACCTGTAATCCCAACACTTTGGGAGGCTGAGGCAGGCAGATCACTTGAGGTCAGGAGTTCGAGACCAGCCTAGCCAACATGGTGAAACCCCATCTCTACTAAAAAATACAAAAATTAGCCAGGTGTGGTGGAACGTGCCTGTAATCCCAGCTACTTGGGAGGCTGAGACAGGAGAATCGTTTGAGCCAGGGGGGCGGAGGTTGTAGTAAGCATGGGCGACAGCCTGCACTCCGTCTCCAAAAAAAAAAAAAAAAAAAAAAAAAAGATATACCACACCACACGCTCACACACACCACTCACATATATACACATACGCCACTTGTGTGTATTTGTAAGAAAGTATGTATGTGCACCTTCACTTGTGCAATCACACACCATACACATCACAGCCACACTCACACATGCACACACCTTCACTCACACATGCACACATGTACTCATATACACATACTTTCACACAATCACACTACACACATCACACGCCACTCATACATTCATGCTCACACATGCACATACACTCACATACACCATACCCACACCCACACACTAACACACACACACACGCCACTCATATATTCACATATGTGTATATATACACACACACACACCACTGACACACAGTCCTTCCCTTAGTCCTTTAAGACCAGGCTACACCAGCAGCCCCACTTCTCACCACCCACTCTCTCCTCAACTCCTCACATTGTGTTCCCACCACAGGGCACAAACAGGCCATCCCAAGACCGCTGATGATTTCCCAACAGTCTAATCTCTAGCCTTGAGTCCTCACTCCCTCAAATACCCCACTGAGGAGCTCAGCTCTCTTCTCCAAGTGCACCCTGACTCTCCTCCTGACTCTTCTTCCCGCACCTCCTGGTCCCCGCTGTCTGCACTCCCTGGGAAGCTCCTCCGCTCCGACCCTGACCCTCCAGCGTCACAGTGTCACTGTGCCCCACTACCATGCTAGACATCTCTGGCCCTCTCCTGAAACCTAGCCCTGGATTTCTAGCTGAATGACGGCCCCAGCTGAAAGTCCTCCTGGGACCTGTTGCTCAAAACGTTGACAGCTGGACCCCTCCTCTTCCCGTCCAAACCATTTCCCCTTCTGGACTTCTCTATTTTGTCAGCAATCCTGCCATCCGCCCACACCCCATCTCCAAATCGTGCTGGAGACTTTTTTTTCCCTCTTCCCCTCACCCTTGTCTTCCAATTGCTCATCCCTTGCTAAGTCCTGGAGGCTGTGCCTTCCCAACAGCTCTAGCACACAGCTCTCACATGCACGGTTTAATTTTCATTGCAGCTAACATTACTATTGCCCAAGAGTGAATTCACACCCATCACTGACCTCCCTCGAATACACATCTCTGCTGGTGAAACTTTCCAGAAAGCTTCCAAAAACACTGCTTTCACCAGCCCTCCTGACCCACCCCACACCTACTCAAAAATCATGAATGCCTCTCCAGTGCTCAAGAGCTCCTTGGGTGAGCCACTTCACCTCCTACACCCTCCAGCCCCGCTTGCCTCTCCAAGTATAGCTCTATCATTTTCCTACAGGAACCTTCCACTTTCTGTTCTCCAAACATCCCTCTCCTCTCTGGATTCTTACGTCCTGCCCATCCTTCGAAGCCTTTCCTAATTTGACTCCCCGAGTTGACTCCCTGGTCTGAGTGCCTGTGACTCACAGGATTCTGCAAAGCTCACTGGCCCTTGGCATTTCTTCCTATGCTGTGTCCGAGTGTAGGTAGACATCAACACTATCAGTGGACTCTGGATGCTTGGACTAGATGACCATCAGGGTCATCTTCGTCACCAGAAATTGGACGATCTTATTTCCTGAACTAGAAGGCAAGAACCATTTTGTAATTACAGCTTTTCTATTTTGAGCATTCCTGTACTAGATACAGAACCCAACACTCTCTAGGTATTAGCTCACCCAATCTTCACAACCACTGTATGGAGTAGAGAATGTTAAAGATTGAGAAACTGAGGCTCAGGGTTCACCTAACTTGCCCAGTCTAAGGACTTGGGAGAAGCTGAGCCAAGAATTCCATTCCAGGTCCATCTGACACCTGAAGGCTGAGCTTCTTGCAGAGATCTCTTCCCTCCCATGTCCTACCCTCCTGGGCACAGAGCACAGTGCCTGGCACGTGGTGGATGCTGGCTCAACCAGTGTTTACTGGGGCTGTCTCTTACCTCCAAGCCCTCAGGCAGAAAGAGTGCTCAGAGGAGCAGGGAGATTAACTCAAGACCCAAGAATGGGAAAAACCAAGGTGGAACTGGTGATCTCATCCCTCCCTTTAACTTTCTGGGGTAAAGGCACAAGGAAAGGTCCACCAGATCCTCCTAATTCAGAGCCCATGCTCTCTGCGCCGTCCCAGCCAGGCCCCACCCAGCCCCACACCCAGCCAGGCCTCTCCTCCAGAGGAGCATTTTCCTACCATTGTTCCACCAGGCTAACCCCAGAGGATGAAAATTCCTATCCCGCCACCCCGCAACCCCCGTGTCCACCCTGACTCTCCAATCACCTTATGCTTATGCTCTGGCTCCTGACCCAGCCCCGCCCCAGTGCCCTGGTACCAAGCCTTGTCCTATCACCATCCCTCACCTGGTTTTGGTTCTGAGCCGGTGGGGGCACGGGGTGCTGCTTCTCCTGCACTCGGGGCTTCTCCCTCTGCTGGGCATAGGTGAAGCTGGGAGGTTGAGGGGAGCCTGTGCCAGCAGAAAGAGCTTCGGGGTGCCCCAATTTTTGATTTGGTTGTGACCCAGATCCACCTGGGGCTCCAGGACTGAACTTGGAAGCCACAGGAGTAAACTTAGGAGTCACTGGAGAAAACTTAGGGGCTGGAGCCGGAGATGAGGCTGGGGGCCCTCGGGGCTGGGTGTTAGCCAAAGACACAGGCTGGGTCTGGGACTGGACATGGAGTTGGACCTGAGGCTTGGGCTGGGGCTGGGGCTGAACATGGAACTGTGTCTGGCTCTGAGCCGGAGCCGGAACCTGGGGCAGAGGCTGGGAGCTGGAAGGGGACTTCCAAGGAGGCAGGGGTGCTGTGCCCCCGGCTGCAGGCTTGGTACTGGACTTGGAACTGAATGGAGTGGCCACTGGTGGGGGCACATATCCAGATGACACCTGCAAGGGGTGGGAGAGGGAAGAGAGATGCAGTCAGGAGGACACCATCCTCCTTAGTTCTATGCCCAGTCTCTCTGGCCCTGAGCCCTGCTTTTCCTACTCTCCGGTCCCTTACCCGGGCTTTGAAAGGATCATTCTTGGTCATGTCATCCAGCAGTGAGGACAGAGAGTCGATCTCCAAATCAATACTGCTCACCTTCTCCCTGGGCTAGAGGGTCAGAGGTCAGAGCACCTATTCCATGCCTCTATCCCCCCACCCCCAAGGCAGAGGTGCAGGGGAGGTAAGAAGAAAGGGCCCTCTTCTCCTCTCCTTGGGGGTGTCCAGTGCAGCCGCCCCTCCCAGGCCTCCGTACCTGTGGTGGGGGCGGTATGGGGGCCTCAGGCCCTCCCTCCTCCTCCGGAGGAGGCGGCGGGGAAGGGAAGATCTCCTCCTCCAGAGGCGCAGGGGGAAATGATTCCTCGATCGGGGGAGGGGGCGGCGGGAAGGCACCTCCCAGAGCACCCTCTGCATCGTCGCCATCCCCAGCAAGGGGAGGTGGAGGCAGGGGAAAGTCTGGGGTAGGAAGGAGAAAGACGTCGGCCGGGGTCCCTCTACCCCTCACCCAAGCTCCCCTCAGTTAACCGCTCTAACCCCTAACCCAAGAACTCTCTCAGGGGTCCCAGAGCGTGTGGGGAAGCAAAGGAGGGGCGCAGGGCGCCCTGGGAGTACCAGGTCAGGAAAGGCCGGGCGCACTGCCGAGGAGTGGTGCAGCTCCCGTTACACTTCGGAAAACGGACCCGGAGGGGAAGATTCGTGCCCCACATTCCCGACTCCCACTCCCAGGCGGGGGACTTGGAACGGTCCCAGGAGCCCTGGCTCCCAGCCACGAGCTCCACGATGAGGTAAGAACATCTGCTCGGGACAGGGTGGCTGCGCCCAGCCCCCTCGGCAACAACCTTTCCAGACATCCCCAAATTCCCGAAACGACTGCCCCCCACCCCGGCTCCTGCCGGGGTACATTCCCCAAGCCCCGCCGCATACCTTCCGGGGGCGGCGGGGGAATCTCGCCCACCCGGCCCATCTGTGCGCGCTGGGCCCCGGGTGCCGGGGGAGGCTCGCTGTCCCCGGGCCGGAAGGGATTCACTTTGGGCTTTGGGGCCACCACAGGGCCGAACTTCTTCTGCGGGGCGTAAAAAGCCGGAGCCGAGACCGAAACGGAGATCGCGGGAGACGGGCGGGGGGCCGCCATGGCCGGGCCGGGCTGCTGGGGTGGGTCGCCGGGTTACGCAGCGCGGAGCCGGGCTCAGGAGCCCCAGGCGGTCCCAGCTCCCCTTGGTGACCCCCACTCGCCCCCTCCCGGCGCCCCGCGCCCCCTCCCCGTGGGGCCGCCCTGCCGCTCCCCGCGCCTCACCGCAGGCCGGAGCGTGCGCGCCGCGTCTCGGGTGGCCGCCTCGGCGCCGGGTCCGCAGACTCTGCGTCCCGGTCCGGAGCAGCCTCCAGCCGGGCGGGGAGGGACACACGGAAGGAGGAGGGAGGGAGAAGAGAGGGGGCGGGGAGAGAGCGGCGCCCAGACCATACAAGGAGCGGCCCGGAGAGGGGGCGGGGAGAGCGGGGAAGGGCGGACCAGGCAGGAAACTCCCCCAGGAAGGGGCCCTGATCCTGCCTCAGGCCGGAGGCTCCGCCGAGGTCCGCTCGCCCCCACCCCACTCACTGCCGCCCCCGCCGCCCCAGCCCGGCTCAGACCCCCACTCCCTGAGCACAGGCCTCTGATGTCATTTCCTGACCTGCCTCCCCCTCCCCGCCCGACCCGCGGGTGCCCGAGATCTGACTCACCGTCCCCCTCCGGGCTTAGCCGGCGGAGGTGGGGCGGGTGCCGCCGAGGTAGCCACGCAGCCCCTGTGCGCCTCCGGCCCGGCCCAGCGACCTCCTCTCGGGCCTGCCGTTACCCGGTCCCCTCCTGCCACCACCCGCTACCCGGCCACCCCGAGTCCGCCTGGGGTGGCCGAACGTATGGAGCTGGGCTCCAGGGTGCACGGGGATGGGGGGTGAGGAGCGGGGCGTTCTCCCTCCCAGCACCCCCCAGCTGACTCTGTGCCCGGAGGGGGTGTGTGAGCCGGAACCTCCAGCATTCTTGGGGATACGAACTTCCAACGCTGGGCAGCCTCTTAAGGCTTCTAGGAATTC